>NC_000002.12:44432776-44735806 GCF_000001405.40 Homo sapiens | reverse complement strand
CGAGTAGCTGGAATTACAGGCACCAACGACCACGCCTGGCTAATTTTTGTTTTTGTTTTTTTTTTTCAGTAGAGATGGGGTTTCATCATGATGGCCAGGCTGGTTTCAAACTCTTGGCCTTAAGTGATCCGCCCACTTTGGCCTCCCAAAGTGCTGGGATTATAGGCATGAGCCACCATGCCCAGCCACAGGTTTTAATAATATACATGAAATGGTATATCATTTGAGGATAGTCTGTGATAAGTTAAAGATACATACTATAAAATCTAAAGCAACCACTAAAATAAAAAACAAAGAGTTACAGCTAATAAGCCAACAAAGGAGATAAAATAGAATAAGAAAATAAACTCATTTAATCCAAAAGCAAGCAGAACAAGATGAAAGGGGGAACAAAGAATAGATGAAACACAAAACAAATAGTAAAATGACAGATTTAAATCTAACCCCATCAGTAACTGTACTAAACAAAAATGGTCTGAACGCTCCAATTAAAAGGCAGAGTGTGTCAGACTGGACAAAACAGCTAGACCGAAGTACATGTGGCTTACAATAAATGCATTTTAAATATACAGACACAACTAGGTTAAAAGTAAAAAGATGGACAAAGCTATACCAAGCAACACTAGTCAAAAGAAAGCTGGAGTGTCTATATTCATATCAGACATAGTAGATTTCAGAGCAAAGAATGTACTAGGAATAAGGAAGATCACTTTACAATGTTAAAGGGTCAAGAAGCAGACATAACAATTCTAAATATTCACGCACTGAATAACAGAGCTTCAAATTTATGAAGCTGAAATGGATAGAAGTACAACTACAAAAAAACACAGATGAAACCAAATTATTGTCAGAGATTTTAATACTCCCCTCTCAGTAATTGATGGAACAAGTAGACAGAAAATAAGCAAAGCTACAGATGACTTAAACAACACTATCAATAACTTGACTTAATTGATATTTATAGAATACACTCAACAATAGCAGAACAGATGTTCTTTTCAAATAGACCATTTACCAATATATACCTATTCTGGGTCATAGTGTAAGTCTCAATAAATTTAAAATGATTCTAGTCATACAAAAAATATGTTCCCTGGCTGGGCATGGTGGCTCATCCCTGTAATCCAGCACTTTGGGAGGCTGAGGGGGTGGATCACTTGAGGTCAGAAGTTGAGACCAGCCTGGCCAATATGGTGAAACACCATCTATACTAAAAATACAAAAATTAGCCTGGCATGGTGGTGCATGCCTGTAGTCCCAGCCACTCAGGAGGCTGGAGCAGGAGAATAGCTTGAACCCAGGAGGCAGAGGTTGCAGTGAGCTGAGATTGCACCATTGCACTCCAGCCTGGGCATCACAGCGAGAACCTGTCTCAAAAATAAAAATAAAAAAAAAAAGAATGTTTCCTGACCACAATGGAATTAAACTAGAAATCAATAATCTCTGTAAAATTCTCAAATATTTGGAAAATAAATAATATACTTCTAAATAACCTGGGGTCCAAAGAATAAATGAAAACATAAACTGACAATTATTTTGCGTTGAATGAAAATACAACACATCAAAATTTATGGGATGCCACGAATGAAGTACTTAGAGGAAATTAATAGCACTAAATGGCTATTATTAGGAAAGGTCTCAATTAGTGAACTCAGTTTCTAGCTAAATATTCAAGAAAAAGAAGAGTAAGTTAAACTTGACCAGAAAAAAAAAAAGAAGTAATAAAGATTAGAGCAGAAGTGAATAAAAAGGGAAACAGAAAAATAATAGAGAAAAATCAATGAAACCAAACACTGATTCTTTGAGATCAATAAAATTGATAAACCTCTAGCCTGACTTATCAGGAAAAAAGGGAGAAGATATAAATCACCAATATCATGAATATGAGAGGTGCCATCAATACAGAGTCCATAAATATTAAGAGGATAATATTTATGCAATATTAATACAACATATCCAAAGTTGTCCATAATATACATATGAACATACATATGGCAATGCATCATGATCAAGTGGGGCTTATCTTAAGAATATAAGAAGGTTGGTTTAACATTTGAAAATTGATCAATATAATCTACTATATTAGCAAGCCAAAAAAGAAAAAACATATGATCATCTCAATAAAGGCAGAAAATGCTTCTGACAAAGATTAATGTCTGTTCCTGCTAAAAACTTTCAGCAACCTAAAAATAGAAAGGAAATTCTTTGGCCTGAAAAAGGTCATCTATGAAAAACCTATAGTTAACATCATACTTAATGGTGAAAGACCCGATGCTTTCTTCCTAACGTCAGGCATAAGAAAAGTATGTTTTCTTTCATTCTTCAACACTGCACTGGAGATTACAGTCCCTTTCTGTATAAAGAGATATACAAAAATAAGCTTCTAGAACTAATAAGTGACTTTAGTAGGATTGTGGGATACAAGATCAATGTACAAGAATCAGTTGTATTTCTTCATAAAATCAACAAATAATTGGAAGTTGGAATTTCCAATTTTATACTGTTTACAACAGCATTAAAAAACCATTCTGTTTATAATAGCATAAAAATATGAAACACTTAAAGATAATTCTGACAATGGATGAGAGAAATTAAATAAGACCTAAGTAAATGGAGGCAATTTGGTGAGCAAAGGATGAAATGATGTTTTAACAATTGAGTCTCCATTTTTTAAAAACAGAACTTCAATCTATATCTCACACCATATGCAAATATTGATGCAAAATGAATCATAAACCTAAATGTAAAACCCAAAACTATAAAACTTGTAGATGAAAATGCAGGAGAAAATCTTTGTAACCTTGAGTTAGGTAAAGATTTCTTAGACACACACAAGAGTCTTGATCCTTAAAAGAACAAATTGGTAAATCAGACTTTATTAAAATTAAAAACATTTGCACTTTGAAAGATCCTGTGAGGAGAATGAAGACGAGCTACAGGCTGGAAGAAAATGGCAAATCATATATAGTATCTGATATAAGCTTATATCCAGAATATATAAAGAACTCCCAGAGTATGTCAATGATAAGAAAAACAAGCAACCCAATTTTTTAAAAAATGAGCAAAGCATTTGAACAGACACTTCACCAGAGAAGATACGTGAATGGCAAATAAGTACATGAAAATATATTCAACATCATTAGTCCCTAGGGAAATTCAAATTAGAACTCCAAGCTGGGCATGGTGACATGTGCCTATAGTCCCAGCTACAAAACTGTTTTTTAAACAAACTGAACAGAAAATGCTTTCTGAAAAAGAGCAAGGCGCATACAAGTAGGACCCTTACCTATATAAGTTTTACCATCTAAAGCATAACATTCATGTGCGAAGACATGTAAAGGATGGTTCTACCAGACATCAAATCATGTCAACATGTTGCTTGTAATTACACTGACACCAAAGTAAAATTTATATTCTCTCCATTTTATTTCATCACAATATTAAAATCTTATTTCCATTCAAAATTCATTACAAAGTAAAATACAATTTTGTAAGCAGAAACATTACAAAATCAATAATCATTATAGAATTCTCCATGTTTTAGAAAAATCTTGGCTGGGCACTATGGCTCATGCCTGTAATCCCAGCACTTTGAAAGGCCAAGGTGGGAGGATTGCTTGAGGCCAAGAGTTTGAGACCAGCCTAAGCAACATAGTGAGACCCCTGTCTCTACAAAAAAAATAAAAAATTAGCCAGTTGTGGTGGTATGTACCTGTTGTCCTAGCTACTCAGGAGTCTGAGACAGGAGGATCACTTGAGTCCAGGAATTTGAGGTTACAGTGAGCTATGATCTTGCCACTGTACTCCAGCCTGGATGACAAAGTACGATCCTGTCTCTAATTTTAAAAATAAAGAAAAATCATAACAGCTATGGACATGCCAAACCTATGAAGTTTAACAGGTATAGTATAGCAGAAAGAATGCATGGGCTTTGTAGCTGGATAGCTCTGAGTTCAAACGCAAGGCAGTGAAGATGAGAGATGCTGAGTATCATTGCCCTCATCTGTAAAAAAGAGACAGTAAGAGTTGCATCACAGGACTCATTAAGAATTGAAAGAGATGGAGTAAATGAAACCACATTATAGGTGCTCAAGAAATATTAGTTTCCCTTCCCTTATTCTTGTACTAACTTATGTCCTTTCATTCTGGCTTTGAGTTTGGGGTTTCAATCTGAAAAACAAAACCAAGTCAATTTCTGATAGGATTTTTACCTTGTGATGCAAAACTCACACTGAAAGAATTTCTCAAACAGAGAGTCTCTGTTTCAAGTTTGTAATAAAACCTAATGTCAAATGGGTTCACCCTAATTTGTATTTCATTGCAGTGATCACAGATAACTCTCCCTATAGAGGTTTAAAGAATTTATTTTCTCATATTCTCATGTTTAGTACTTCTTTGTTTACCTTTATATTTTCAGACTCCTGGCTGTAGGGGAGTGAGTCCTGTTTTTTGTTTGTTTGTTTTCTGAGACAGAGTCTTGCTCTGTCACCCAGGGTGGAGTGCAGTGGCGCAATCTCAGCTCACTGCAACCTCTGCCCCCTGGGTTCAAGCAATTCTCCTGCCTCAGCCTCCCTAGTAGCTGAAATTACAGGCATGTGCTACCATGCCCAGCTAATTTTTGTACTTATAGTAGAGACGGGGTTTCGCCATGTTGGCCAGGCTGGTCTCAAACTTCTGGCCTCAAGTGATCCACCCGCTTCAGCCTCCCAAAGTGCTGGGATTACAGGTGTGGGCCACTGTGCCCGGCTGAGTCTTGGTTTTAAACTCTGCTGTTAAAAAGGTAGTTTCTTGTGTATTTGTGAAAGTAGTGCACTGATAGAATTCTTGATCATGCTTGCTAAATGTAATGAACTTCAAAAACAAGCTATCTTACCAGCAGTAGGGAAGGCAGCCATGTTCTTTGTATGGCTATTATAGGCATTCTTTACAGAGGATTCCAGTATCCTTTCCCACAGTTTCTTTTATGTCACTTCTCAAAGTCTATGTTGGCACAGCTCACTCTTGTAGAGGGCCATTTACAGTGTTTACAGTGTTCAAGTCATTTACAGTGTTTACCCAAACCAGTGAATCACTTCTCTTCTTTCAAATGATTTCCTATTTGCCACTTTCTCCTCCAATTTTCCTTATCTTTTATAGAGTTTTAAACTTCCATATCATAGAAGCCTCTCTAAGAAAGTGTTTTAAACACTTAGAGAAAAGGACACCATCTAAATCTGGAATTGAAAACTCAGAATGAAAGGGGATATTGATCCGTTGACTTCCTAATTTGGGAGTCGTCTGTCTATAAATGTTATTGAAGCCTCAGTGGATGCTGTGAGCAGCAGTACAATGAGGACATGTTCCTCAAGTAGCAAAATCATAATCGTCAAAAGGAACATACAGTCATATTCGGAAGACAAGACATTCAAATGAAACAAAAGAATTACCGATGGCCCTATGTAAGTAAGGTACTACCAAAGGAGTAATCACTGTGGACTGGACAAGTTGGGGAAGGTATCCTGAAGAAGGTGGAACTGCATGTGATCTTACACACAGGATCTGGATGGGGAATGAAGAAGCAAGAGGACATATCAGACAAAGCCTAAAGAAGAGGCCAGGGTTTGGAGGCTGGAATGAACACACTCACGCTTTAAGCTCCCCAAATATCCCAAGTCTTTGTTCTCAGCAGGTGACCTTACAGAAAGCCTGAGGCTATCTATCTGATACCATCTTTCTCCTCTTCTTCTTTTTCTCCTTTCCTCTTGTCTAAAAGGAAGTAGGGTCACTCTTCTCATTAAGGAGAACTTCTCCATCTGTGTGCTGGATAAAGCCACCCCTTCCTCTTCCCTAGTGGTTTTCAAACTTCGGCATACATCATAATTCTTAGATAGTCTGTTGAAATACACATTCCTGAGCTTCAACTCCAGAGTTTCCGATTCAGCAGGTCTGAGGTGGGGCCTTGGAATATGCATTTCCAACAAGTATACAACTGATGCTGGTGGTGCTGGTCAGGGGGCCACACTTTGAGAAGCCCTGATCTAGATCTTTGCCTCATCAAATATTTCCCTTTCTTGTCTCCACTTCTTTCTTCTTTCTTCTTTCTTGGCTGTAGCGGCTTGCCTGATCACATGCTCAACTCTTCCACCTCAGCTTCCCCTTAGCACACACACAACTTCTCTCCCTTTGCCACCAACATTCTTATGGGAGTGGACACTCCCATTGCTTCACCTGCCCTGATGATATGACCTTTCTTCCAACAGTCACTGAACTACTTTGCAATCTGCCTGACCTACCTTCAGTAATCTGCAGCAGCCAACCACACTCTCCTTGAAATGCTTTCTTGGACTTCTTCCATTAAGAAGTGGTATTATACCGTACCACCCTGAGCCATCAACCTTGCTCTCCAGTCCCTTCTTAGTATCCCTTTCTGGCTCTTTTTACTACTCCTGACACACAGACATTTTCTAAGATTCTGTCCTTGGTCATCTTCTCTTCTGACTTTCCAATTCCCGTAGTTATGTTCTGATCACTTGATTTTGATCTCCAAATCTTCTAGCACAATATTTTTTCTGAGATCTGAACTTTTATTTCTAACCTCTTGTAGTTACTGTCACATATCTATTCTACTGCCACCTCAAATGTAAATTTCCAAATGGCTATCTCTTACTCTGCCTCTATTTTACATTCTACGTACAGTCACTTCTCTGGAATGACCCCGTATTTGCTCACCATTTTCCACTCTCATTCAGGCTGGGGCTCCCTCTTTTTCTCTCTCCGGTACTACTGAAATGGCTTTTTTTTTTTAAAAAAACAAAAGACATGTTGTATTGTGAAATAAGACACAGTAAACCACACGGAATAAATACATGCCTTAACTATTATCAGGCAAACACCCTTCTAACCACCACCCAGATTAAGAAATAGAAAATCCATACAAAAGATCAATGAAACCAAGAGTTGGTTCTCAAAAAAAAAAAAAAAAAAAAAAGGATAGACCCCCTAGCTATCTTAACAAAGAAAAAGAAATAAAAGATACAAATAAGCACAATCAGAAACAACAAAGGTGACATTACAACTGATGCCACAGAAATATAAGAGATCCTCAGAGACTACTATGAACAACTCTATGCATACAAATTAGAAAATCTAGAGGAAATGGATACATTCCTGGAAGCACACAGTCTCCCAAGATCGAATCAGGAAGAGATGGAAACCTTGCATAGACCAACATCAACTTCTGAAATTAAGTCAGTCATAACCTACAACAAAAAAAAGCCCTGGACCAGATGGATTCACAGCTGAATTCTGCCAGACATATGAAGAAGAACTGATACCAATCCTACTGAAACTATTCCAAAAAATTGAGGAGGAGGGGCTCCTCCCTAACTCATTCTATGAAGCCAGCATCAGCCTGATACCAATCTCTGGCAAAGACACAATGATAAAAGGAAACTTCAGACCAATATCCCTCATGACCACAGACACAGAAATCCTCAACAAAATACTAGCAAATTGAATCTAGCAGCAGATCAAAAAATTAATACCCCATGATTAAGTAGGCTTTATTCCTGGGATGCAAGGCTGGCGCAACATACACAAAACAGCCAGGTGCACTGGATCACGCCTGTAATCCCAGCACTTTGGGAGGCCGAGGCAGGAGGATTTCTTGAGTCCATGAGTTCAAGACCAGGCTGGGCAGCAAAATTAGACCCTGTCTCTACAAAAAATAAAAATAAAAATACCCTGGTGTGGTGGCACACACCTATAGTCCCATCTACTTGGGAGGCTGAGGAAGGAGGAATGCTTGACCCCGGGAGGTTGAGGCTGCTGTGAGCCATGGTCACACCACTGCACTCCAGCTTGGGTGACAGAGTAAAACCCTGTCTCTAAAAACAAACAAGCATATGTAAATCAATAAATGTGGTTCACCACATAAACAGAATCAAAAGCAAAAACCATATGATCATCTCAATAGATGCAGAAAAAGTTTCTGATAAACTCCAACATCCCTTCATGATAAAAAACCTCAACAGACTAAGCATAGAAGGAACATACCTCAAAATAATAAGAGCCATCTATGACAAACCCACAGCCAACATCATCCTGAATGGGCAAAAGCTCAAACCATTTCCCTTGAGAACTGGAACAAGACAAGGATTCCCAGTCTCACCACTCCTATTCAATATAGTACTAGAAGTTCTAGGCAGAACAATTAGCAAAGAGAAAGAAATAAAAGGTATCCAAATAAAAAGTCAAACTATCTCTCTTTGCTGTTGATATGATTCTATACTTAGAAAATCCTAAAGACTCTGCCAAAAGGCTCCTAGAATTGATAAATGACTTTAGTAAAGTTTCAGGATACAAAATCAATGTACAACAATCAGTAGCATTTCTTTACACAATGTCCAGGCTGAGAGTGAAATCAGGAACACAATCCCACTTAAATTAGCCACAAAGAAAATGAAATACCTAGGAATACAGCTAACCAAGGAGGTAGAAGATCTCTGCAAGGAGAACTATAAAACGCTGCTGAAAGAAATCAAAGACAACACAAATAAATGGAAAAACATTCCAGGCTCATGGATGAGAAGAATCAATGTTGTAAAAATGGCCATACTGCCCAAAGCAATTTACAGGTTCAAGGCCATTCCTATTAAACTACCAATGTCATTCTTCGCAGAATTAGAAAAAGGTTATTTTAAAATTCATATGGAACCAAAAAAAGAGTCCAAATAGCCAAAACAATCCTGAGCAAAAAGAACAAAGCCAGAGGCACCACACTACTGACTTCAAGCTATACTATAAAGCCATAGTCACCAAAACAGCTTGGTACTGGTATAAAAATAGACACATAGACCAATGGAACAGAATAGAAAGCTCAGAAATAAAGCCGCACACTTGCAACCATCTGATCTTCAACAAAGCTGACAAAAACAAGCAAGGGGGAAAGGACACCCTGTTCAATAAATGGTGCTGAGATAACTGGCTAACCATATGCAGAAGAATAAAATTGGACCCCTACCTATTGCCATATACAAAAATTAAATCAAAATGGATTACGGTTTTAAATGTAAGACCTCAAACTACAAAAATCCTGGAAGACAACCTAGGAAATACTCTCTTGACATTGGCCTTGGCAAATAATTTTTGGCTAAGTCTCCAACAGCAACTGCAACAAAAACAAAAATAGACACGTGTGACCTGATTACACGAAAGAGCTTCTGTATATCAAAAGAAACTACCAACAGGGTAAATGGACAATACACAGAATGGGAGCACATATTTGTAAACTATGCATCCAACAAAGGCATAATATCTAGAATCTCTAGGGAACTTAATAAGCAAAAAACAATAACCTCATTTAAAAAGGGCAAAGGACGTGAACGGACACTTCTCAAAAGAAGATACACCAAGCGGCCAACAAACATATAAAAAATGCCAGCATCACTAATTACCAGAGAAATGCAAATCAATACCACAGTGAGATAGCACCTCACACCAGTCAGAATGGCTATTCTTAAAAGGTCAAGATACAATAGATGCTGGCGAGGCTGTGGAGAAAAGGGAACGCTTACACACTGTTGATAGGAATGTAAATTAGTTCAACCACCATGGAAAGCTGTCTGAAAATTTCTCAAAGAACTTAAAACAGAGCAACCATTCGACCCAGCAATCCCATTACTGGGTATATACCCCAAAGAAAACAAATCATTCTACCAAAAAGGCACAGGAAACCAAATACCACGTATTCTCACTTATAAGTGGGAGCTAAACATTGAGCACACATGGATATAAATATGTGTGAACAATGGACACAGCAGACTATTAGAAGGTGGGGGGCAGTTTTAAAAAACTACCTATCAGATACTATGCTCACTACCTGGGTGATGGGATCTGTTCTCCAAATCCCAGCATCATGCAATATTCCCATCTAACAAATCTGCACATGTACTCCTTGTATCTTAAATAAAAGTTGAAAAAAAAAAAAGAAATAGAACTTCTCTTGGAACCTTAGAAGTCCCTTCATGTGCTCTGTCTCATTCATCTCCCCTTTCACCCCAGTGTGATGATTTCTTAACTGGTCTTTCTGCCTCTAGCCTCTCTCTATTTATCACAAATAGCTAAATCTGGCTGGACACATCTTTTCTACTTCTACCTCTTATTTCCTCCCTGCCTTTTATACCAGGAATGCCCACTTCAACTTCTTTCCTTTCGTTATCTTTAATTTGCTAGATCACAGCTCAAGGTCCACCTCCTTCATGAAGCTTTCTCAGATCCTTCCACCTTGAATTGGCAGATCTCTTTATACTCACATAGCATGGTTAACTCAATTAGAGCAGACTCTGTCTTGTAACTTGGTAGCTGGGGAAATGTCCATCTCTTGTCTGGACATCTTGAGCTTACTAAAGGCAGAAACCTCACCTTAATCTTTATAACCCATAAAAAGCCCATCATAGTACCTTACACATAGCAGACACTAAATTATATTTCATTGCACTGAACTGAATAATAAAAGTTGGACTAGAATAGCAACTTAGTAAAATATTTTAGGCAAAAAACTTTTATTCATTAGAAAAATCAATTCCATGCCCTTATTTAAAGAAGAATGTATGTAAGACCGATATAGCACTCACATGCATACAGGTACACACACACACACACACACACACACACACACACACACGTCCAGAAAGCAAGACAATGCTGTAAAAGAGATCCAGGCAATATTTTTGGATCTCCATTTCTCATCTAGTCTGGAACTAATATTTCTCAGCTGGGATAGTCTTGAGGAACAGGACAATTCTTCATTGTGGTGAACTGTCCCTTGCATTGCAGAATATTTACAGTTGCTGCTCTTCCCAGTACCATAATAGCACTTAGCTATTGTGACAATAAAACAAAAATGTCCCATATGATTACAAACAGTGCAGAGGTGGACACACAGTCCACTTCTGGTTGAGAGCTGTGGTTGGACTATCCCCTCAGGCCTGTCCACCTCCGATATGTGCTTCTTGTTGAATCCCAACAACTAAAAGCTGTGATGTAGACAAGAAACGAATCAGAATTACTTTCTTATCTATACAACTTTCCCCTTTCCACTGAGGTCACATCTTCACTAAGATGATACCATAGAAATTCAGAGTCCAATGTGGGGAGTAAAGCTCTCACATGAGAGTGAAAAAATGCCTCTTCTAATGACAAACAGAGGCTATCCATGGATTCACTCTCACGCTTTCAGTTTACTCATCTGAGCAACAATCCAGGGATATAAAATGGGCTTCTCGAAGCATGCTCTGTGCTTCAGATATATTAGAATCACCTGAGAAGGTGATTCAACTGTCAGATTGTTCAAATGTCGGATTGTTCAAATGAACCTCAACTCTATGGAGTTTGCTTCAGCAAGGTTTATGTGATGTCTGGAAACCTGTTTTTAAAATTAGCACTACAGGTGATGATGGGTCATGAACCACTTTGAAAATCTCGTTTCAGAAGATCTCTACCTGTATGAATTTACATTTAGAATATTCTTTTTAAAAAATTTTTAAGAGAGGGGATCTTGCCGTGTTGCCCAGGCTGGAGTACTGTGGCTATTCACAGGCAGGATGATGACACACTACAGCTTTGAACTCCTGGCCTCAAGCAATCCTCCTGCCTCAGCGTCCCTAGTATCTGGGACTACAGGCACACGCCACTGCACCTGGCTAGAACATTCTTTAGCCACAGGCCTAGGCTTTTTAGTCCCAAGCATTTAAAGAAAGTGCCATTCCAGAGAAGTGACAGTTCCCCTAAGGACAGACTTGATTAAGAACACTTCCCTTATCTCAGAGAAGGAAGCAACATCACAGATTAACCAAAACAGGATTTCACATATGTAAATTCCTTGAAACAGATTATCTGATCAACTTCATTGATTTTATCATGAAACAAAATTATTTTACATTTCTGGACTAGGAATAAGGCTGGGAGAAAGGCGAGGGGGAAGAAAAATTAGGTCTCAATGAAATGTTTACCTCAGAAGACCTGTAAGATTAATGAATTCCAGACAAATGAGAGCTGACTGTAAGTCAGGTCCTTTCCTTTCTTGTAAGTGCATAACATCTACGAAATAAGCAAGAAAATACAGTGGATGGAAGTGGCTTCAATGAATGGAAATCTGAACAACTTTATTATTTTATTTATTTATTTATTTATTTATTTATTTATTTATTTATTTATTTATGTATGTATTTATTTATTTTGAGATGGACTTGCTCTGTCTCCTGGGCTGGAGTGCAGTGGTGTGATCTCCGCTCACTGCAACCTCTGCCTCCCAGGTTCAAGCAATTCTCCTGCCTCAGCCTCCCAAGTAGCTCGGATTACAGGTGCCCGCCGACACGCCTGGCTAATTTTTCTGTTTTTAGTAGAGGTGGGGTTTCACCATGTTGGCCACGCAGGTCTTGAACTCCCAACTTCGTGATCCACCCACCCTGGCCTCCCAAAGTGCTGGGACTACAGGCATGAGCTACAACTCCCGGCAAGAAAATTTGAACAATTTTAAAGCAATGGAACACTGCAGAATTGAATGAGAAGCTCTCAGCGAGAACTCTAGTTTGGTGGTCCCCACGTGAGGGCTCCAGACCAGGCGTCAGAGTTACCTGTTAGAATGCAAAACCCCAGGCCTGCCTCAGTCTCTCAGGGTGTGGGGATCTAGAATGTGTCATAACAAGCTCTACAAATGATTCTGAGAACAAAGTTTGAGAACTGTTGTTCCAGCTTATCACTTACATTTTTCTGGACTGACTTTAAAACTGATCCCAGCTCTGTGTTTTTGTTTGGAATTTAGCAGAAATGAACTTATTTCAGAGTCCAAAAGAGGGATATTTTCCTAACATTCAGACCCCCCTCATGCTGGGGACCAGTATATTCTGCACTGGTTAAAGAGGACTAGAAAGGGTTTCAAGACCTTGAAATGAAAGGTACTAATTATTTTACTAATTATATTTTCCGTTTCAAGTATCTCTGATCCTATGACAGCTGATTAACTTACATAGTAGCAAAACAAAGTGACAACAAAATATTAGAATGAATGGACTAGAAAGTACAATTATATACCATCTCAGATGAAATCACAAAATTATTTATTGCTTTTTGGTGTTTTCATTTATTTTTCTTCCTTTTTTTAATGTTTCAAACTTACATACTTTCAAGTGCAGTGCATTTTTTAATGTAATTTTGTTCTTTCTTGCCACTATATCTCCAAATATCACGTACAAAATAATGGGGTAAAAATTGTTCTGATCTAGAATTATGGTAGCAGTGTAGGGCAACCCACTAAGAGGTGGTTCAAAAGATAAGACAAACTTCAAAATTCTTTTAAATAGCTATTATGTCAGTGCTATTTAAAATCAGACAAAGATTGCACAATAAAGAAAATTCTGGACCAATTTTACTGATGAATATCTAAGCAAGCAGCTCAGAAAACATCATATACTTTTTGGTAGAAAACTTAAAGTGGTTCAGCCACTTTGAAAAACAGTCTGGCAGGTCCTCAAGAGGTTAAATATAGTTACCATGTGACCATATAAACCCAAGAGAAATGAAACTTGTCACAAAAATGTGTACACAAATGTTCATAGCAGCATTATCCAGAATAGAAAAAAAAAAAAAAAAAGAAAAAAGAAAAAGGAAACATCTCAAATGTCCATCAGCTGATGAGTGGATAAAGTGTGGTCTATCCATACAATGGAATAGTACCAAAAATGACAAATGCCCTGATATATGCTACACATGAATAACCTTAAAAACACTATTTTAAGCAATAGATTCCAGATGTGAAAGACCACATATTATACACTTCCATTTATGTGAAATGTCCAGAATAAGCAAAGGCATAGCAACAGAACATAGATCAGTGGTTGCCTAGCCCTGGAAGGGAGGAGGGAGGAGTGAGGAAGGGGCATGAGTATGAGGGCCTCCCCTTCCCTCCCCTCCCCTCCCCTCTCCTCTCCTCTTCTTTTCTTTTCAATAGATGGGGTTTCACTATGTTGCCCAGGCTGATTTCAAACTCCCAGGCTGATTTCGAACTCCTGGGCTCAAGCAACCCTCCCACCTCGGCACCCCAAAGTGCTGGGATTATAGGTGTGAACCAGCACATCTGGCCAAGTATGAGCTTTCTTTTGGGGGTGATGAAAATACTCTAAAATGATTGTGATGCTTGCACAACTCTGTGAATACACTAAAAGCCATTTAATTATATATGCTTTCAGTGGGTGACTTGTATAGTAAGTAAATTATATCTCAATAAAGTTGTAATTTTCAAAAATCTCAGATAATTTGTTATTAGAACACAGAAGCATATTAAAAGAAGAATTAAGACACTGTGAATAAGTAACTACTAGAAATGCAGGGATGTTTCAATATTAGGAAACCTTTTGATATGATTTGTCATAGTTACAAATAAAATAGGGAAAGCAATTTGAACATCTCCATAGGTGCTGAAAAGATATCTGCTAAAGTTCCATATTTACTTGTGATAACATCTCTTAAGAAATTTTAAGAAGATAAAAAATATCATATTTATCTCAACTCAAAAGCTAATGCATACTTAATGGTGAAAAATTAGTAGATTCCCAACAAAGTCAGACTCAAAGATGCCTATTATTTAATAATCATGGTGGATATTTTTATCCAATAAAATTATACAAGAGAGAAAAAGGAGGTATGAGAATTAGAAAGAAGTTACAATTGTCATCATCTGCAGATGATGTGATTGTTTGTTTGGAAAACTCAAGAGGATAAACCTGCAAAATATTCAAAACAATAACCCACTGAGGTGACTAAACGCTTACTATATCAAACCCCATAGTAAAACATAATGGAAGTAGAAAATATAATCGAAGAAAAAACCCTATTTGTAAGACCAACAAAAAGTTTCTAAAAATAAACTTAAGAGAAATAAAAATGCTAGTGAAACACCTTTAAAAACTTAAAAAGAGAATACCTGTTCTTGCATAGAAAGACTCCCAGTTTTTAAAATGTCAAGTCTTAGTAAATATGAAATATGAAAATATATTACAAAGTTATAGTGACAAAAATTATGCAGTTTGGTAGGGTTGTACAAATAGACACAATCCACTTCTGAAAATCTGTTGTGTAGACACACTTGCAAATGTATAATTTATGTAAAGATGTGTCTCACTGCAGCAGTTTATAATAACAAAATATTGAAAACAAACTAATGTCCATTATTAAGGTAAAAAATAAATGATTGTTTAACAATGATTTATCATGTGGCCATTCTCTAAAAAAGTTTTTTAAGATGGCTCTATTTTTAAGTGAAGAACTCCTTTGAAAATAAAAATATTTTTATTGATATGTAACTTCTGCAATATAAAATTCTGTGAAGGGAGAAGGATTTCTCTCTTAAAACCAGAAGACATTTTCACAGAGAATACAGTAGTCTGACTTGCATACCTAGCTATCAATACAGCACCTGGCCTATTTTTGGTAGTGAGATTTTGACCTTGGTAAAAAGTAGAAGTGGGCAAATCCAAAGAATCAATACAATGTTATTCTAAAATAAAAGGCCTTAATTTTTAATTGACTGTAGTTTAAGAGGGTCCCTAAAAATACAGCATCCTCCTATTTTAAAGTCTGGCTCATTTTAATACAAAAAGGATAACTCTATCAAAAATAGCTGAACCGGCTAACGTTCTTATGGGAGTTGGTGTCTTCAGTGCAAAACACTAAATAGTAGGGATATGAGCCCATCTATAAACCTGTTAAGCAAATCAACAGTGTTATGTTAGTAACAGAAAGTACACATGATAATTTCATTTTGTCATAGCCAAGATAGCAACAGAAGGAAACAGGAGTGTGGCATCTCTAGAATTCTCAGCGGTCTTCAGGATTCTGTTACTATAATTCTAGCAAAACTCACTAACAGGTATATTTTATCAGAAAATTTCTTAAAGAGAGCCTTCAGCTTCCTTATCTCAGTTACCTTCTACTAACCTTCCTCTTCAACCTGACAAAGAACAGATAAATGCCTACTCACACTGTCAGTTTGTCTACAGACACTACATGCGCATGCCTGAGAAGAGGCCAACACTGAAATGAAAGTCAGCTATCTGATGTAGAAATGGATGTCTGATTCTCTAGAGCTTGACTTTCCTCTACTAAAAATGGTTTGGTTCCATAAGCCTTATGGATTCATGTCTTTCAAAATGTTCTCTAAATACCAATTTTAAAAGCTTTCATATACCAAGGATAAAGTGTACTAATTGCTTCAGGGAGTACAAAAACATATTAAGCAGAATTCTTGCCTTCAAGAACATGATCTGTTTCCCTCCCTAGGACATAAACTCCAAGAAGGCACGGCCTTTTCCATCTTGTTTACCACTCCATCTCTAGCATCTAGAATAGGACTTGGCAAACAGAAGGTGGTCAAAATATTTGTCAACAAGTAGATAAACCAGTGAACATGCAAACAAAGCCAACATGCTTTGAACAAAAAGAAACTATGCCATGTTCAACTGTGGTACTATTCTAAGGGCAGCAGAAATTAAAAAGATTAGGGTAGGCTGAGAAGGCAAGGGG
This sequence comes from Homo sapiens, assembly GCF_000001405.40. Classification (NCBI taxonomy): domain Eukaryota; kingdom Metazoa; phylum Chordata; class Mammalia; order Primates; family Hominidae; genus Homo; species Homo sapiens. The sequence goes on along the minus strand of NC_000002.12, from coordinate 44,719,249 downwards.
AAAATGGCAGTGGAGCCATCCTAGAAGGAAGGATTTAGATGGAGAAGAGGAGAGAAACAAGAATGGCAAAGACTAGAGATGGAGAGATCATATCTGTCGGAGGCAAGTGAGGGGTCCAGGGTAACCAAAAGAGGAGGCAGCAGCTAGATGAGATGTGGATATAAGGGCAGACTGCAGAAGGCCCAGGAAAATCAACCACTGGATTCTACTTGGTTGGAACGTACCTTTCAAAAATCATTTTCCACATCCCCATTTTAACCTCTAAAGGAAACTGAGTCTCAGAGGAGGCATAAATCTTTAAAAAGCAATAGGGCAATGGGACCAATAACCAATCTTGGGGGCCCACATAAAGGTAAAGTTTGGGTTATAAAAAAAGTCTTAACACAAGTTCCATAGTTTACTAAAATTCATGGATTATCAAAGAATAATAAAGGTCATAAACCTGAATTCACTAGCAACTTTCACACAAAGATACATACATTCTTAAGTGAAACTTACTTACATCATCACAGCAGGGTAAATTTAATAGACTTTTTAAGAACTCTCAACTAATATTAACCAGAGAATGACGCTATTCACTAATTCTGGAAGACCTAGAAATACGTAGACGTCAAAAGCTCCAAATGGTTCTTTGTTAAACAGTCACAATTTTGAAGACAGCTTTAGATAAACCCAACAATTGAGATACTGTAAATATCCTTGCTCTTTCATCAATCTCTAGCTATATTTAGTAGCATGGTTTCCTTTGTTCAAGAATTATTTTTGATAACTGCATATTTATATTCTCAAAAGCAGAGTACTTTGGACATACTTGTTAAGTGAATGGATGGCTGCATGGATGGACAACAAATAAACCAAATGACTGCATTAAGCTGAGATGTAATGAATATAATTCTTCATATATGTGGATCTTAGATTCAGCTAGGGCTAAGGCTTCCAGACTTTCACCAGCATGTCTTTCACATTTAGCTACAATCAGACTATGATTAAAATGGATAGAGGGAGCAGGAAAGTTTGGTAGCTAAGAGAAGAGTTACTTTAGGCAAGGATGGTGGTGCTTATGACAGCAGAGGTGGATTGACTGTGAAGCTAATGAAGGTTCAGCGTCAGAGCCTCTTGCAAGGCCCCTTCCAAGGCCCTTGGACAAGCCCTAGTAATGTGTTCACATGGTCATATATTTCTGTAAAATTTATCAAAGTAAGGTATAATAGAATTCATTCTTCCTAAGTGGGCCCTCAAAATAAGTTTCAGGCCCCACACAACCTGGGTCTGCCCCTGTGTAAGAGGTAGGAAGAGGTTGGTAGCAGGAGAAATGCTGATAGTTACTGAGAACATCATCGGAGTAGTGGGAATAGGAGCTTGGGTGCCAGTCAAATTTCTGGGCAGCTTGTTTTTTTTTTTTTTTTTAAATACCATTTCTTAGGCTTATAGTTCTCATACCACGACTTTCCTTTCAGCTTATACATCTTCTTTGCAAATGAAGTCACAAGAGACATTCAGCTGTTACAAACCTCATGTCAAGCTTTGAAGTGCTATTTAATAGCAGAAATATTTGGCTCACATGTGGGCTTTATAGCTATGGTAAATACTTCTTAGTTATCTGTCACTACTCTTATTCCACATCTCCAATTTGGAGGAGAAATTCTGCATATGCACTGAGGCACTAAAAAAGAATATTGAACTCTATCTTAGCTCTTTTGTGAATGGCTTCCTTTTATTTCTTCTCTCATGGAACTAATACTTTCATCACATTGTACTGGTTATGGGTGGGAAAGCAGTGGATGGAGGGAGAATACTGATTATTACATCAGTGGCTGGCCATTTCTCTTAGCTTCTTGACAGTTAAGTGATCAGGTCACTCCTTAATATAAGATCAAGGCATTTCAAGGACTAACTCATCTACCTGTTCACTAGAAAGTGCTTTAGTAGACTTTGAACAAAATGCTTACAGGGGTCAAAAGAAAAGAAACTGACCACAATTAGTATGAGATGAAGATGACAAAAAAAGCCCATCCTCATCTTGGAGGTTTCTATATGACTATTATTGACATATAGTCTATATGTCCAGGTACATATCAGAGCAATATATCTAGAAATAGCATTTTTGAGAACAGAAAAATAGAAACAAAGGCCATGTATTAAGCATTTGGTATATGTCCTTTGTTGAATAATGACATTTTGCTTGTTTATGTAACTTAATTATTTTATGAAGAGATGACAGAAAATACCATTGCACTCCATAAGTTAAACACTTGACATTTTTGTTCCTCAAAATGCAACATTTTAGATGTCTAGATATGTTTATTAATTAGTGATTATTAACACCCAGTAAACAACATTATGTCTTGTAAAAACACAATCTCTCTTCACAGCATGAAGCTGAAATCTATTATTCCCTGATTCCATATGCTGAAATACACTCAAATGCTCACAAATGACCTTAAACATTAAATAAATGTAAATGAGGACAACATAGAAAATGCACTTTTGATTGATAACTAAAAGACCAGGTTGAAAATCATGTCCAAAAACGAAGTCCTCTCCAGAAGGGTAAGGCCGTCTGCACTGTGAAGGAAAGGCTGTCCTAACAATGAGGACCCCACAGGTAACGGCAGACCCTTTCTCTTTCTCTCAACCTACCCCAGGTTTTCTGGGAAACAGAAGTGGTTTGTTCATTTATATGAGAAACACAGAATATGCTGTCCCCTGTGCCACCAGCTTACTCCCAACATTTTAAACAGGATTTAAAAATACACTATGGACACTTCATTACATTCACCAATTAATATAAGAGAAAAAAATTATTGCTATTCCATAGCCTCACACCAATATGTGTCATCACTTTGGTTTTTAAGCATTGTAGCTATTTTCATGTCCGAAGCCAGCACACCAAGATCACTGGCTGCCGGGGCTGTATCGTGGGTGTGTCCAAGAGAAATCAGTCTGTGGGCTTTGTCTGTTAATGAGTAGTTTATATAACTAATAAAAAAAATCAAACTGGGAAGTTGGGGTGGGAAAGTGTCTTTACCATAGGGAAAATTCAAAATACCAAATGATGACAGCTTCACAGTAATAAAGAAAACAATTAATTTAACAGAGAGTTATTCTAATAAAGTCTGTGGTTAAATGAATGACAAAAAATGCACAAATACAGCTGTTTCATGTGAAAACTATGAAATGATTACTCACTTCTCTAGATCCATTACCAACAGGGCAAAAATAAAATGTAGCATCACAGAACACACCATTGTTGTGGCTAAGAGCAAGCATTCCTCCTAGTTTGTATAAGAATTAACAGAATCTAAAAGCGAATGGACACCTAGACTATTTTAAAATCATGAAACAGAGCAGGGTTTCTCAGTGTTGGCACTATTGACATTCTGGGCCAGATGTTTCTTTGTTGTACGGGGGTGTCCTAAGCAACATAGGATGTTCAGTGGAATCCCTGGTCTCTACCACTAGATGCCAGTAGCAACATTCCCCGCTCTCCTACCAAGTCATGACAACAAAAAAAAATATCTCCAGGGAATGCCAAAAGTCCCCTTGGGGGCAAAACTGCTCCTAGGCTGAGACTCACTGGAAGAGAGCCATTTAAGGAGTTCCCAGGCCTGGCTTCTCCCAACCTCATACTGTATAATCATAAATCATCCCCAACCCAGTGTTTAATATACTTATCTTGTTTTCTCATCTATTAATTGGAGCTAATGAGAGTGTCTGTCTGCCTCATAGTATTCCAATGAGCATTAAATGAGATAATACTTGTAAAGTGCTTAAAACAGTGCCTGACACACAGCAGGTGCTCAATAAATGTTAGCTATTATTATTTTTAATAACCATCCATAGTATCAAGAAAAGCAATTTCAATGGGAATTTTTTAATGCAGAAAGGTATCTTACCAGCTTGATATTTTCTGGGTCTTAAACACACCAGCCTTCTGATTCCTTGTGATGATGTCTTGCACATCTACAGGACACAGTTAAGAAAACATCTGCACTGATTGTGAAGTGACCAAAAAAAAAGGTCCAGAAACAGTTATCTTTTTTTTTTTTTTTTTTTTGAGACAGGGTCTCGCTCTGTTGCCCAGGCTGGAGTGCAGTGGCGTGATCTCAGCTCACTGCACCCTCTACCTCCTGGGTTCAAGTGATCCTCCCACCTCAGCCTCCCTAGTAGCTGGGACTAAAGGCATGAGCCACCACACCCAGCTAATTTTTGTATCTTTAGTAGAGATGGGCTTCACCATGTTGGCCAGGCTGGTCTCGAACTCCTGACCTCAGGTAATCCACCTGTCTCAGTTTCCCAAAATACTGGGATTACAGGTGTGAGCCACTGCGCCTGGCCAATCTTTTTATCATACATGGGATGAGCACAGCGAAAGGAGAAGAGCTGTATGTGAGGTGTGAAGCAGGATGCTGACTTGCCACAGGCAAGCTCTTTTACTTCCCTGGGCTGCATTTTATCACCTGAGATGGATCATCATGGCAAGCCCCAGAGTTATGAGTGCTGGTGGGAAATGACTGTCCCATAGGTGCCATGTCCTACTTGCTTAAAAGGGCAAGGAGTCCAAAGGCAAGCCTCTCTGTCAGCAGGGAGAGCAATGTCAGTCTCCTGAGACTTTCCAGTGTGAAGTATTTCCAATCTCCTAAATGCTGCTAGGGAGGGGTGGAGAGGAGCAGCAGGATGACACTTGGGAGGAAGTGAGAAGAAAAAGATGAAGAAAATCTTGGAGAATCTTTGAGAGAAAATGAATTACTGAAGAAAGTCAGTTGAGTGAAAAGTCCCCTGAAGAACTGTCTTTACAGACTTACGCTATGGCCTTTGGCATGGAAGGACTTGTACAAAAGAGCCACATTTATGGAAGACATGTTTTCAGGAGCTGGTTCATTACATCACCCAGCGCCATATTTACAAGGGCCTGTTGGAAAAAATAGTCAGGTTTCAGCACCAGGAAAGGCTGGTCTGCAGATCAAGGGATGTTGCTTCCACTTCCTGGCACTATAACTCTTAGAGTTGATCCTCTTTTTCTTTGCTCCAGCACCTGTGCAACTCAGAGCCAAATGTGTGGCCTAACTCTAACAACCACAAAAGACCCTGTTGCGTATGTTTTCTCTACTGACCTCTATTCCTGGCTTCATCATATTTTCCTGGCTTTCCAATTTCCAACTGCCCTCACTTTCCCATTCATTTTATATGATATATTCTATGTGTCATGGTAAGAAGCCTCAAAATCCCTCTTTTGGAATAAGGCAGGTTTACATAAACAAGAAATAAAATAATTCCAGTGAAGGCTGCAAGTTGAACTAAATTGGGCCCATGGGGAGGACACCAAGCAGACAAGCGATGTTCTCCTATTGCTCAGAAAAACAAATTTCCTGAATGCTCAAAGCAAGCATTGACCAAGATCTCCCTGCAAAAACAGAGCCACAGGACTTTTTAACCCAAATCTCTGCTTGAACCACCAGGCACACCCATTTCTTCTCTGAGTGAATAAGCAGGTACTGTGATAGCTTTCTTCCCCCAGGGGTGGGTAGGAAAAATCAATTAGGTCTGCTAATGAAGGGCTTTGTTGAGGTTTACAAAAGTGCTATAATGCAGACTTTTTTTTTCCTGGGTGAACTTTCCTGTATGCAAATTAAATACCGTTAAATTACATTCATTAAAAAAATAAAAGAGACTAATTTGCCTACTTGTTTTGATTAACTAAAATGACACATCGGCCTACAGTTCTGTCTATTTCAGGAAGAAATTATTTCAGGAAAGTCTTCTAAATGAAATGTCTTGCAGAAAAGGACAGCTGACATCTTTATTCTGAGAAGAACAAAATTAGTAAAGAGTCAGCTGACAACTGTTTTTGATTAAGTTCCCCCACACTCTGGCCACACCCTCCTTAGAGTTTCCATGGCATCCAACCGCATGCCATAATGTGCCCAGTACACCTGTAGAGTCGTATGAGTACATGACTAATCTATCAAGCAAAACATATTATTTTGTTAGTGGAGGTAATACTTTTTATAAAATAGTCTCAGGGAAGTTAAATTATATAACTCAGAAAACCTATTAATAATTTTTAGTAAACATCTTAACACTATATACTTTTATACAATTTATAAACCTGTGACTCCAGGTGGTCAGGCTGAAGCAAACATATGTATTTATATTCTAGAAGCAATTTTTTAAATAAAAAAATTCGACAGCAGTATTTAGGCTGCTTTATTTTTAGAACTGGACAGGAAATAAGTTTTGTGGTTTAAGAGGTTTTTTTAAATATTAAAATGAGCATGAGAAGAAAAAATGTCAACAGTATATTAAAATATTACCTTAAGAGATAAATTCAGACATCCTGCTCCCCACCCCTTACTTTAGGTCAGATTTTGATGGTTCTTCTGGACGGCACTGTGTTGTCCAATAATAGATTTTATCATTCTTCTGTGTCACCTCAGTGTAATAAAGGAAATCCAATCACATTGAGTCGATATGTCCAGGATAGTGTTCAACACAACGGGCCAAATCGTGTTCTCTGAACCGCACCCACCTTCTGGAGGACTTCAGTGGGAGGGACTGGGTGCAAAGAAAGCCTTAATGTGATTTCTGATTAAATGAATACAGAGTAATTGCCTCCAATCCCCTTGTCTAGGCAACTGGACTTCCAGAGCTACAGGATATATGTTTGTGGCTAAAAAGAAACCGGAATTCTAACTCTAGGTTTTCTTCTCAAATAAAGCCCCGTTCAGAGGTAGGGCTCCATTTCAATTTTGTTTCAGTTGATTTTTATTCTTAAAAAATATTTTTATATAATAGTAATTTAAACAAATTATATACATGTTATATGTATGCATCATATTGTTAAAAATATCAGCCTCCTCCTGCAATTAGCAATTATTTATCAGTAGTTATATATATATTTTGAGAGTTGGCATGTTGTTTAAGCAAGAAGATATTTCAAAAATAATAACACTGTGATTCACAAAGCACCACTTTCTTGGTTTATGTTATCTTTATTTTCGCTGGAATACCAAAAATGAGGGTAGGAAACTATGAGATTATAATATAAACCCTATTCATTTTGATCTCTCAAGTTTTTTTTTTAATGCTTAATGTGGCAATATTTGCTAATTTAAGGCTGCAAAATATTCTTAAATGTGCTTATTACTCATATGAATTGAGAAGATACCATAGAGGTACTATAAACTCTGTTAGCAATGCCAATTGTTATGTTCGTGGATGAGAGGCCTTTATTTCCAGAGCATGTAAGGAAATGCAAGATGACGTTCACCAAATCATTTTAGTTTTTGGTGACCCAGAATGGTTTAAGTCGAAAAAACATAAGCTTTGAAGTCAAATGAACCTGGCTTCTAGTGCTGGTTCTAATATTTGGGGGCTGCGTGTCCTGGGATAAATTAATCTCTCTGAGCTCCATCTCTAAAACAGAAGTAATGATACCTATTTGTTAGGCTTAATGGAGTATCACGTGTGATGGGCCTGGCACACAGTAGGTGCCCAATTCACGTCAATTCATTATCTTAGTGTATAATTCAGGCAAAAGCTTTGGTAGGGTGAAGAGGTGGGTAAAGTAACTAACATGAGGTTTGGCAGTTACACTTTATTTTCTTTTCCTGCTGCTTAGAATTAATTACCTGAACCGGGCACAGTGGCTCACGCCTGTAATCCCAACACTTAGGGAGGTGGAGGCAGGAGGATAGCTTGAGCCCAGAAGTTCAAGACTGCCTGGGCAACACAGCAAGACCTCATTCTCCACAAAAAGGAGAAGAAAAAAAGTTAGAATTAATTATGTGAACATTTATACTGTAGAATTTAAATAACCAAAGTTATCAAAGAACTTCTGCCCTTCATGTATATAAATGTATTCTAGCCAAGGCAAAATCTGTGCCCCACAAGGATAGGTACTAGACCTATCTTGTTCACTATTGTATCTTTAGCACCTGTAATGACATGCCATTAATATTGGTTGAATTAATTTTAATTTAATTCCAAAAAATACATATTTGTTGTGCTGCTACCCAATCTGAGGCACATATAGTTTACTTATGACTCATCAGTAGATGGAAGTACAGCCGGCATTGGAAGAAGAAGCCTGGACACAGGAAGATGGCCCGGGATTTCCGTGTTATTAACCATCTATGGTACAGGCTGCACAGCCCACACGAAGCTTCACTTATTAGTTACTCAAGTCAGGGATTGTATTAAATAAAAATAATGTTAAACCAGGGGTGTCTCCTTTAAAAAGCACAGGGGATTTACCCATTTTTGGAGAATCCTAAGTTCAAGATCATGATCCACACTGTGCATACTTTGGGGATAAGATGCTTACAGAGAAATGGGTCACCAAACATTGGAATTTTCTGCATAGAACTGCTAGATGTTTACTAAGGCAGGGTGCTTGTGCTGGGCACATTAGTGATTGTAGCCAGAGAGGGTTGCTCACCTTCAGGAGTTCTACTTTTATTCATTATAATTTAGAAGAGGCTTAGCATCAATAATAACTCAGTATACCATGTCTCTCTCCTATTCCTAGGTCATTGTTATCACAAGTTACAAACCTTATGGAGTAATTATTATATGTGGGCAGTTGAAGATTTCTTTCTTGACACTAAAGGGGCATTGCCAAAAAAAAAAGAAAAGGAACATGTTTCACACTATTTTAGAATAAATTTGAGAACTGGACAAACCAAATGATCCCATTTCTAATTTATCCTTTGTTCTCTTGGGGTACAGATAAAATGGCATCTGTAGGGAAGAGCAGCTCTCAGGTGTGGGGGCTTTGAGTTCGTAGACCCAGCAATGCAGTTTAAGGATCAAGGAGACTTTAGGGAAAACTACCCATGAATCTAAGAAAATATTTGTGACTTAAAAATTTTTACCTCAAGTCTTAATATCTTTCCAGACATCTCTGTTTAATAAATCTCAGATCAACATCTAGCTTTTCAGAGTCAAGTTGGAAAACTCAAGAAGACATAGGCAATCCATCTGATACATTTTAGGGAGATAATAAATAAACTCAAAACTGGTTGACATGCTTCTGTGATATAAAGATTCAGAACCAATCCATTCATTGCCTCACATACTAAAACAAATAGAAATAATATAAAATTAAAAGGAAATATCAGGAAATGCTGTTTTTTTTTTTAAAAAAAGGTAAAAATCAGAATCTTAGAAGCTTAAGAGACTAAGAAGATTCAGTTGGATTCATTAAATTCAGAAGCCAAGAACAAAAAAAATAATTTTTAAAATGATAAGAATAATATACAGGCCAATACTCAGATGCGATATGCCATTGCCAGGCCAATTTTCAATTACATTTCACTGATGTATTCATTTGTTTCTTAATGTGCTCATCTTGCCCATTAAGAATAATTAGCAGCTTTACTAACAGATTTTCTGGCTTCTGGCAATGTTTCTCCCCCTTTTTTTGTTGACATCCACTTTTACTTCTTAGAAAGTAATTTTTGAATAATATCCTACAACTGCTATATAATTTAGACTTCCTAAAATTTTAAAGGAAAGATGTAAACAGTAATTTTTAAATAAGTTTGTTTCAATCTATATGCATCAATAGTATGTGATTCAGTGAATTAGTTATTCTTACAGAAAGTGGGCATGCAAATAGAAAAAAAAATCATTCATATTAACCTCAGTCAGTAAAACAGATGACAACGAATGCCAATTGTAAGCTCTGTTAGCAAATCAAGAATAACATTAGTATTAAAAGCAGGAAAAACACATTGCCAATTTTAAGGCTTTATGCATGCTTTTTCTCTTAATTAAAAAAAATTAGATCTGGTTACAACAGAAAAAGGCATACAAACACAGAACAACTGCATGGTAAAAACGGAACTCCATCAGGAAAGTCCTAAGAGATGAAATAAAACACACTACCAGTTTTGGTCTGCATCCTGAAAAGACCTACTTTATCTACTTTGTAAAGTTCTTCCCCTCCTGCCCTTTGGCACCCCGCTATATTAAACCCATTGTAAAACCCAGCACAATAAAGCACTCTCAGGGCTGAGCTTCTGAGGACCAAATGTTAAAAATCCATTTTCTTGGGAGGGGGCTGTACCAATCATTTCTTTGAAAGGCCGGCAGAATGAATACAGAATCTGAGATTTCCTCTCTGATTTCAAAAGCTGGCATGGCATCTTTGTTGTTTAAAGCAAAGGTGTGTTAATTAATGACATTAGCATTGCTTCCCTTCTTTGGAAGCTCTGTAGTTTAGCTCAATAATAATTTTAGAACAATTAGACTTACATACTGACTACAGATGTTTCCCATAGTTTGATAAAAGTTCTAATTGGTTTCTGACGCTATTAAATAAGACACCTGCTGACTTGAAAAAAACCTTAGGTTACCGGGCCCAAGCTGAAAGTTTCTGTGGCTAAAATAATCTTCTCTTGTCCAATAATCCTGCTCCCCCCACCCTCTAAAAATTCTCTGGGGCTGAGCTGGCATACCTGAGCTTCCTCTTGCTCTGTATTCCCTGACATAAGGAGGAGGAGCACAGTGAAATGATACATGGATACATGCACGAAATAACTCAGAATAAAGCAGAGTGAATGAAAAAACATCTGCTCATCTTCAGGAATATTTTGAAAAACTTGAGACAGTCTCAAGAACGTGATTAAAATCCTGCATTTAAAAAAAGGAAGCACCTTTTGTGATCTCCTTCCCTTGTGTGAAAGGCCAAGATTGTGATTGGCTGTTTTTCCTTCCTGAATTTTTTTTAAGTCTGTCAGGCAATTAGCTGGGTGGGGCTCTGTAGAGCATACAAGTGTTACTGAACAATATTAGCTACTGTGCTTCTCGTTCCTCCTTTCTCCTGTTTGAGCAGCTTGATGAAGCTGCTGCATATTTTGAAAAAATCATATGGCAGAAGTCGAAAAAGAAAATCAGAAATAGATTGTATGTAAGATGCCACAGAAATCAAAACTGCTTTGGCAGTTTAGGAGCTTAAAATTCAAATAAGTAGATTGTCTCCCTCATAATGTAAATGTAAGGCACACCAAAAAAAAAAAAAAAAAAAAAAAAATCCAAAGCAAACATATCTGCCACTTTTCCTCTCAGTTTCTAACAGCTGTTAACTGCCCCTGAACAAATCAGCTCGACTGCTAAAGTAGCTACATTTATGCTTGCTTTCTTAGTTAAAGTACAGTTCAATTTTCATGAACTCTGTGTACATATTAGTAAAGCATAATCTAATGGAGTTTGAACTGCAATAGCATAGCAGAAAAATAGAGATAGCTTGTATAATCCTAAATAAAATCCTAAATAAAAGGAAATAATGAAGAACTGACAGCTGTTCCAGTGGGGGATATAGGTACCCTCAGCAATTAGACCAGGCACAATATTATACAGTACATACAATATCAAGTGTATAAATGTAATAACAAACATGAAGCTGGAAGTTAATATTTGCCAGCAATATCCAAATACAATAAATACCAAATAATTTGTTTTACACTGGCAAATTCCAATGGAAATAAAAGAACAAGAATGCTTGAAAATTATTATGAAACAAATTTTCTTATTGCCTCGGGAGGTCCACAAAAATAGGCTCCTTTCATGAGAGATGTCTATAAAAATCTATGGAAAGAAAAAAACCTACGGAGTTGTATGCAAGGAATTCATATATTTCTACTTTTTCTTAATTACTTATCATGTATGTAGGGGGGAAACTCTCTTTTAATACCCCATGCTGTCTTTCTTTATATCAATTGTTACTCAGCCAGGAAAAAGGAATGAGCACAACAAACCCGTTTTCTATCTGAATAAGGATACTTCTGATGGCCTTTTCATTCCCATCAGTTAACAGAACTTCTTTGACATCTGCAGAAATAGCAACCTGAAAAAAAAAAGGGAGCACAGCAAACAATGAGCAAATATGCTTGTCTGTGTGGAAGTGAAGACAGGAGTGACAAGCCTTCAGTATCATGCTTCCTCACCTATTTCTCTGTAACAATCTTCAATCTTTTTTCATTTTATGTCTGCATTATTTTAATCATTCAATCAAATCAGTCAATACTTTTATCATTCCATTTGCGGGAGCCTCTATCTTGCTATCATTCTGTTCGGTAATTGCATTGTGACAGCGGATGATGGTATTCTGAGAGGCTTTCATTTGTGGGCTTCTGTTTATCTAGTAGAGCCATCATACAAGGCTGTCACTCTGCCTTTCAGCTTGCTTCTGTCTGACTGCCTGATGCCCTTCATATAACTTTGCATTGCAGGCAGATGGCTTTGTGAGGGTAATTTTTTTGTGAGCTTTGACATGCTCGCACATTGGGCTGTAACCTCGACACATTGTATAAGAGCGACAGGTTTGTCAAATGCCAATCAGTGTAACAATATGCTTTTATTTGTAGAGACATAAAAACTTGTCTAATGCACTGTGCTGCTACATAATATCTCCTGAATACATGACTCAGAACCCAGAGAATGGGGAACGACGTTCCTGAATGGCCAATCTAATTCAAAAGAATCTAATTACTGAGCGCTCTGGATCATGTTTGTTGGTGTAATAATGCAGGCAAAACATTAGCAGCTATATCATGGTGCTCCAACTGTGATTCGCCGGGCTATTCCTGTATCTTAGCAAATGGGACTATAATCTGAAAAAAAAAAAAAAAATGCTTTCGCTATGGCAAAGAAAGACTGTGCGAGGCCTGGAATGTCACAACAAGCAATATTGACTACACTGAGGTAAAATGTTTCTGCTCATCGAGGCAACCATAAAATCAATATGATCCGAAAGTAAGTCAATCTAGAAGGTCTCTCAAGACCCGGCAGCTTGACCGCAGCTGATGCTGTTGACGGTTCTCTGACCCAGCAGTTGGAGGCCCTGGAACATTTTTCCTTTTGTTCCTCCCTCTGAATGGGATTGGAATGGAGAAAAGACCTACCATGAGCCCAGCCAAGCATGTCATGCCACCCCCTAGCTCACACACAGCAAGGGCCCTGAAAGAGAGAAAAGAAATGGTAGAACCCATACAAATTAGATGAAAATGGTCAGAGAGAGATATATGTTACAAGAACAAATTGCCATCTGCAGTAAGAACGGCGCTACCAGGAAGTTGTAGAGACATGACTAGGCTACCTCATGTCGTTTTGCGTTTTAAAAATAATTATGAAATAGAAAAGTCACAAAGCAGGCAAATCAGTGGGGGTTCCCTCATTAGTGTTCACTGCAACATTACCACCGCTGAGCTGAAAAATCTGAGAAGGTTCCCTTTTTTTCCCTTGTCAATGGCGCTGTCTTTTAGAACTAAACTAGCTAGAGTAGCGAAAGAGAAGTGTTAGGAAAGGATAACACTGTTAATCCACATTCATTCCTTCAAAAACAGTTAGACAAGTAAATGAAGAATATATATGAGTGTGTATATACCTATATTATAGTTACATACAAACAACACACACAAAATAAATAGATGCAATCCTGAATTTTAAAAAAAAATTCTTAAACAAACTGAAACATTTTGGAAAGCTGAACAGTCCCCATAAAGAACAATTACACAAAGAGCATTTAGCAATTAACACTTAAATCACAATTGACCCCAACACAACACAGTGAATAAACAATGCAGGGACATAATATGGTTAAGCCAGCAAACCCAGGCTAAAGTAATGACTGGGCTCTGACTTCACAGCTCAAAAGTAAAGCGGCTCAGAGTTAAAGCTGACAGTCTAGGGTGGCACTCTGCACTTACCTTCCCCTTTGTGCCTAAATATCAGCCCTTAACGTGTGACATTCTCGCCCTGGCCCACTGCTCGCTGATTGGAGCTCCAGTCAAGCTTAAGCACAGCGAGATGAACAAATGCCAGACTTCCAGGGCAGCTCTGCAGCCCACATTCAAAATTGCCCTGTTCTTATTTATATGCTTAGACTCTTAGGATTGTTTCCTCTTCCCAGTTTGGGAAGTTTATTACCTCAAGAGGAGAAAAAAAGCAAAATTAAAAGAGAGGGAGAGGTGGGAAGAGGGGGAAAGGGAGGAGAAGAAGCCAAGCAAGGACATTAATATTTCAAAACACACTTAATGAGTGTTTGGTTGTTTAAAGCAATTGTAGACTGGTTGGTAAATATGGACCCATAGAGCTTAAAAAAATACATATTATTGACCCAATCTTGTAAGTACATACGGTTAAAACACACGCTATGATCACTAGCGGCTTATCTGCTATCATAATGAGCTATTCAGGAAGTATATATTGAATGACTTTTATAAAATGAGAATTAAAATGAAAAACCTATATTTTCTGGGTCTACCAAACATCTTTAGAATTTTCAAATAAAGTTTTTTTTTTTTTTCCTAAATTCCATCCATGGGTTCGATCTGTAATGCACACTAACAGTTGAAAACACTTATTTCCGTAGCATGAATCCGTAATGGTAATTTATAGTTCACAAATACATATTGTTAGATATATAAAACTACCTTTAAAACCAGGGGTGGGATGGCATCATTAAATAATAGCTGTGAGGTATTTATCTATCAGACATTCTGTAGTGACTTCCCCAGCAGAAGTTTAAAGAATGTCTTTATTGGTTTTTTTTTTTTTTTTTTTGACCTTCACAATCAGTAAGGATTGATTGGAGCTTCACTTTTGTTTCCCCCAAATCAAAGTGAAATAAAATGCCTTGAGTGGAAATCAAAAGCCTTTGACATATAGCAAAAACCTTGCTGTGCAATATTAGTACCCAAGGCAATTCAGATTTCACTTGAGAAGCAACATGTGTTCACTGTGAACTTTTTCCCCTCTTTCTGTTTTCCTTTTCTTCCTGTTTTTCTTTTCTTATATTTTTTTCTAACAATTTAATTTGAAGAATATAATCATGGCAATTTTTAATATGTTGATTCAATATCCGTGATGGGCTAAAAAATATCTTAAGTGCAGCTCTGTACCTGAATATATTATTGTGCTTGAGGCAGTAGTAAGCCAAAACCTCTTCAGATGGCCAGATGCCTAGAAAACACAAGAGGATAAACCTTTTGATTATAGAAGTCATTCTTTTAAGAAACGGCTTTTAAAAATAATGTTCAGTACAAGCTATTTCAACTTCAATCAAACAACATTGTTATTACTTATAATATGTCATGTCACGGGTGTCTTTTATTGTTGTTATTTTTATAGTGGTGAGATTTATAACTCTTTCCCAAGGATAATAGAAAAATATCCTAAATAAATTATACTAAATTTTGATCACAAGATAGCCAAAACAGTAACAACCAAAATCACAAATATCAAGTTAAATTTTGATGGTACTTCACATAGATCTTCATCTTGTGCACATAAAATTAATTAGTATCAGTTGAAGACTTGCTTATATATGCAGCCCATATTAGGCAAAAATAAATGGGACGATCACACACAGGAGCAAACAAAACCACTGACGTCACTACACTTTTTTGTTTGATTCCATGCTAATATTTTTAAACATGCACAATTCTGTCTTTTTTTTTTTTTTTTTTTTTTTAGAGTCTTGCTCTGTCGCCAGGCTGGAGTGCAGTGGCGAGATCTCAGCTCACTGTAAAGTCTGCCTCCTGGATTCAAGTGATTCTCCTGCCTCAGCCTCCTGAGTAGCTGAGATTACAGGTGCACACCACCACGCCCAGCTAATTTTTGTATTTTCAGTAGAGACTGGGTTTCACCATGTTGGTCAAGCTGGTCTCGAACTCCTGACCTCGTGATCTGCCTGCCTCGGCCTCCCAAAGTGCTGGGATTACAAGTGTGAGCTACTGTGCCTGGCCACAATTATGTCTTTCTTCAGTTAAATAAAATCAAACTGCTGTGTAAGATTAAGAAATTTTAATTTCACCAACTTTGGTACATCTTTAAATTTAACAATAATTCTACCTGCTAAATTGCATGGATGGACATTTTCTAAAATTGTCATCCATAAATCACTGATTTCAAATACTTAGTCTTCATGAATGGATATGAATTGCTTAAAGAGAAGACAAACATGCTTGGAAATTGTAGTTTCTAGTTGTTATCACAGGATGGTAGGATTATAAGTGTTTTTAATTTTTTTCTTTATGCTTTTTTGTATTTTCCAAAATTTTTACAATAAGCATATACTACCCTTATAATTAGAATAAACTATAACCTTATAAAAATTATGTTTTCCCCCAATTAATCAAACTCAAAGATCAGTCAGAGCACCAGGCATCTTGCACTTCCTAAGGCTGAGAGCACCATGCAGTCCTGGGAACGGGTGGCAAATGTTCTCTGACTCAACACCAAGCACTCTGCTGATGGTCTTAATGCAAGGTTGAAACATCTACAAAAGGCTTAATTTTTTTCCCCTAGATGAACCTCCAACTTTGAGGACTAAGAAATCCAAACATTTCAGAGAAGAGGGTGTTAAAGAAATGTTAAGTAAACTCCTAAGAGATTCAGGGGGTAAATATATAAACAGCAAAGAGGTGTCTCCATAGAGCATTTGTTGCAGGGAAGCCCAGTCAGGTGTACACACTACCTCAGCCTCTCTGGCATTTCTGGTAGGAATGACAGCTTGAGGGAGAAACAAGGAAAACCAGCAAGAAGTGTTTGGAGTCATATTTAGGAGGAAAGTAAGAGAGGCAGTGGAATGTGGCAGTTAAGATCACAGATATTTTGGAACCAGACTTATTGGGCTCCAGTGCCAGCTCTGCCATTCCCCTGTGGAGTGACCTTGGACAGGTTACTTAACCTGCCTATCCCTCATGCTCCTCATTTGTAAAATATCATTGCAGTATTGTCAACCTCACAGGACTGGCCTGAGAGATGAGTAAAATACATGCCTATGTTTAGAATGGTTCCTAACACATAATAAGATCAAAGAAAAAGAAAGCATTGTTAATGTTATTCTCCAGCAAAGAGGGATGGAAGAGTGGAAGAGAGAATATGTGAATCCAAAATTCGTATCCCAATAACCAGAAAAATGGAAAACCATTTTGACCTGTTACTGCAAATCCTAATACCGGTCATATCTCCACATAAAAATAACTCTATTAAGACCAAAGTATAAATAAAAGTCTCTGAAGGAAGAGCATAAGACAATGCTCTACACCAAGTGAACATAATCACCACTATAATGAATTTCTTTATGCCTTTAGCTTGAGGTTTTAAAAAAATGATAGACAAAGAGTATCTAACTAAAATTTAAGCCTTGATTAAGTACAAAAATGCGACTTCTAAAATGCAGTACTTTGTAATAGTTTTATAATTGTCTCAAAAAATTATAGAGGCTGATTTTTAACAAAATTACATACAAAGAACAAAGTAAAAAAAAAAATCACGTAAAATGTGACCACTAGGATATAATCACTGTTAACATTTTGGACGTCATCTCAAAAGATCTTTCTAGGCAAACAGATATTTTACACCAATGGGATCTTTTCATGAAGATATTCAATAACCTGATTTTCCCTCATTCAATATGTGGTAGATAGCTTTACTAGAAAATAAAAATGTACTTTACCTGCATCATTATTTATAATGATTGCTTAGACATTCTATGTGTGAATCAGAATTCATTTAACCAGTTTCCTCTTGACAGACATTTAAGTTAGTTTCAAAGTTGTTGATATGATGAGATTATTGTGTTGATGCAAAAGTAATTGTGGTTTTTGCCATTAACATCAACAGTAGTACAATATGACAACCCATCTTTTCCCAACCTATGGTTTTCTCCTTAGGTCAAATACTAGGAAATGGGATATCTGGTCAGAGGTTACATATATTTTGCATTTAAATATATCAAACTGACCTCCATAAAATGTGCACCAAGTTACACTCCTAATCAGAGTGTTTGTTTCCTCAAAGCCTTGCCCAGATAGGATTTTTTCAACATAACTAATTTTTGCTAATCTAAGTTTTTAAAAGTTATCTCAGTGAAAATCAAAACCTAAATGAGATACCACTTCACACCCACTAGGATGGCTACAATCAAATAGTCAGGTTATAACGAATGTTGGGCTGGTGAGGATGTGGAGAAATTGGAACCCTGATGCACTGCTGGTGGGAATGTAAAATCATGTAGCCACTTTGGAAAATTGTGTAGCAGTTCCTTAAAAGGTTAAATGTAGATTATAATATGACCCAGCAATTCCACTGCTACCCAAGATAAATCAAAATATGTCCAACAAAAACTTGTACACGAATGCTCATAGCAGCATTGTTCTTAGTAGCCCAAAAGTGGAAACAACCCCAATGTCCATCAACTGACTAACGGATAAATAAAATGTGGTACGTCCATACAATGGATTATTATTTGACAATAAAAGAAGAACTGATACATGCTACAACATAGATGGGACTTGAAAACGTTATACAGGCAATACTCCATTTTATTGCAGCTTTCTTTATTGTGCTTTGTAGATGCTGCATATCTACAGTTTTACAAATTGAAGGTTTGTGGCAACCCTGCACCGAGCAAGTCCATTGGTGCCATTTTTCCAACAGCATGTGCTCAACTAGTGTCTCTGTGACAGATTTTGGTCATTCTCACAATATTTCAAAATTTTTCATTATTATTATATCTGATATGGTGATCTGTGATCAATGACCTTTGATGTTACTATGGTAATTGTTTTGGGGCGGCATGAATTGCGTCCATATAAGATAGCTAGCAAACTTAATCAATAAATCTTGTGTGTGTTCTGACTTCTCCACCAGTCGGCATTCCCCCATCTCTCTCCCTCTCCCCAGGCCTCCCTATTATTAGGCTAATTAATAAACTTAACAAATGGTCTCTAAGTGTTCAAGTGAAAGGAATAGTTGCATGTCTCTCACTTTAAATCAAAAGCTAGAAATGATTCCACTTATGGAGAAGGCATGTTGAAAGCTGAGATAGGCTGAAAGCTAGGCCTCTTGCACTAAACAGACAAGTTGTGAATGTAAAAGAAAAGTTCTTGAAGGAACTTAAAAGTGTTACTCCAGTGAACACACGAATGATAAGAAGACAAAACAGCCTTATTGCTGATATGGAGAAAGTTTTAGTGGTCTGGATAGATCAAACCAGCCACAACGTTCTCTTAAGCCAAAGCCCAATCCAGAGCAAGGCCCTAACTCTTCAATTCTATGAAGGCTGAAGGTGAGGAATCTGCAGAAGAAAAGTTTGAAGCTAGTGGAGGTTAGTTCAAGATGTTTAAATAAAGAAGCCATTTCTGTAACACAAAAGTGCAAGGCAAAGCAGTAAGTGCTGATGTAGAAGCTGTAGCAAGTTATCCAGAAGATGTAGCTAAGATCACTGATGAAGATGACTACACTAACCAACAGATTTTCAATGCAGACAAACATTGGAAGCCTTCCATTGGAAGCAGATGCCATCTAGGACTTTGGTAGCTAGAGAGAATTCACTGCCTGGCTTCAAAGATCCAAAGGACAGGCTGAGTCTCTTGTTAGGGGCTAGTGCGGCTGGTGACTAAGTTGATGCCAATGCTCTGCACCATTCTAAAAATCATAGCGCCTTTAAGAATTATGCTAAGTCTAGCCTGGCTCAGTGGCAGGTGCCTATCGGGCTACTCAGGAGGGCGAGGAAGGAGGATTGCTTGAGTAAGCCCAGGAGCTGGAGGCTGTAGTGGGCTAGGATTGAATATGTGAATAGCCACTGCACTCCACCCTGGACAACATAGTGAAACCCTGTCTCTTAAAAAAAAAATAAGAGAAAAGGAATTATGCAAAATCTACTCTGCTTATGCTCTATAAATGGAACAGTAAAGCCTGGATGATAGTACATCTGTTTATAGCATGGTTTACTGAATATTTTAAGCTCACTGCTAAGACCTACTGCTCCGAAAAAAGCACTTCCCTTCAAAATATTATATACTGCTCATTGACAATGCACCTGGTCACCAAAGGGCACTGATGGAGATATGCAAGGAGATTAATGTTGTTTCCATGCCTGCTAACACAGCATCCATTCTGTAGTCCATGGATCAAGGAGTCATTTTGACTTTCAAATCTTATTATTTCAGAAATACATTTCATAAGGATATAGCTGCCAAATACAGTGATTCTTCTGATGCATCTGAGCAAAGTCAGTTGAAAATCTTCTGGAAAGGACTCACTATTCTAGATGCCATTAAGAACATTTGTGAGTCATGGGAGGAGGTCAAAATATCAGTGTTAACAGGAGTTGGAAGAATTGATTTCAACATTCGTGGATGATTTTGAGAGGTGGAAATAGCAAGAGAACTAGAATGAGAAATGGAGCCTGAAGACGTGACTGAATTGCTGCAATCTCATGATCAAACCTGAAAGGATGAGGAGTTCCTTCTTACGCACGGGTAAAGAAGGTAGTTTCTTAAGATGGAATCAATTCCTGGTGAAGATGCTGTGAACACTGTCGAAATTACAACAAAGGATTTAGAATATTACATAAACTGAGTTGATAAAGCAGTGGCAGGGTTTGAGAGGATTGACTCCAATTTCGAAAGAAGTTCTACTGTGGGTAAAATGCTGTCAAATAGCATCGCATGCTACAGCGAAATCTTTCCTGAAAGGAAGAGTCAACCAATGTGGCAAACTGCATTGTCTTATTTTAAGAAATTGCCACAGCCACCCTAACTTTCAGCAACCATCACCCTGCTAACCATCAGTTAGCAGCCATCATCAAGGCAAGACCCTCTGCCAGCAAAAAGATGACAACTCACAGAAAGCTCAGATAATCATTAGTATTTTTTAGCAATAAAGTATTTTTAGTAAGGTATGTGCATCTTTTTAGACATAATGCTATTGCACACTTAAGCTACAGTATAGTGCAAACTTTTATATGCACCAGGAAAGCAAAGAATTTGTGTGACTTACTTTATTGTGATATTCACTTAATTGCAGTGGTCTGGAACCAAACCCTCAATATCTCCAAGGTATGCCTGTACTGAGTGAAAGAAACCAGTTACAAAGGACCACATGTTGTATGTTTTTATTTATATGAAATATCCAGAATAGGTATATTCATAAAGATGGAGTGTGGCATGGTAACTGCCCAGGGCAACAATGGTTAGGTGTAAATGGAGCATGACTGCCAATGAGTATAAGGTTTCTTTTGGAGGTGACAAAATATTCTAAAATTGTGGTGACAGTTGCACAAGTGTGTGAATACACTAACTACCACTGGATGAATTGTATGGTATGTGAATTATATCTCAATAAAGCTGCTACTTTTTAAAGTTTTCTCATTCTTATTTGTGGGAATAAAATTGCCTTTCAAAAAGATTTTCTTTTCAAATTAGTTATAGAGACACATAGTTT
Source organism: Homo sapiens (assembly GCF_000001405.40). NCBI lineage: Eukaryota > Metazoa > Chordata > Mammalia > Primates > Hominidae > Homo > Homo sapiens. The sequence goes on along the minus strand of NC_000002.12, from coordinate 44,698,009 downwards.
AAAGAGCCATTGGGATCTATTAGAATGGCTAAGACAAACAGTAGCACCAAGCCCCTTTCCCCAGTATTTCTGCTTCCCCAGAAACTATTACTTTCAACTCTTTTAGCTAACTCTTCTGGTAATTGTGTTTATATTTCTACATAATAAGTTTGTATTGTTGCTTCTTGATTTTTCAGTTTCAAGCAAAATCTACTGACCCCTCACTGTGCAAAATTAGCATTTTTTGCTTTTATCTCTATTCCTCTTCCCACATCACATATGTGTGCCCCTTATCCACCCCACGCCATCTGCTTAATATTATATTTTAATATTACAATAATAGTTATAATGTTAAAATTTTGGTAAGATCACTCCCCAGTTGATTTTATTATGACTAGGAAATAAAACAGCTATGTAGTAAACTATGATTGTTTTTTCTTTCATGCACACATTTTTGTTTTCTCTGGAGTTTATAAAGGTCTTTTCCCCCCTCATTTGCTAAGATTTTTAGGCAACCTCAAACTTCAGTTGTCAATTTCTCCTCTCAATACATTCATTCACAATGGGTGTTCTATCAACCTTATGAGGAAATCTCTCCTGGTATCTTCTAACCTGCCTTAGTCTGGACTGAATGCCCTCTATGCTTGGTACACAGCTGACAGCCTAATCTTCACTATCATCCCAGGCTCCTTTTGCCTTTCTCCTGGGTTCCATCTCTTGTTTCCTCTACCCATTGTCTTCCTCTTTCTTGGTTTATTCCCTCATTTTAGTGTAACACGTCCTCCAGTAGTTTCTTGAAAAAGGGGGTAGGAGAGGTAAATGTTTAAGAACTTGCATGATTCAGTGGGTAATTTCAATCCAGAAACTCCATGTTCTTCAGTTCTTGGAAAGTTTCTTACAAAGTATCATCGATTATTTCCTTACTCCATATTTCTCTGTTCTCTTCTTCTGCAACTGTTATTATTTGGATGTTGAATCTCCTGAACTCATCCTTTTATTTTAAAAAATCTTTTCTTTCTTGCTTTGCATCTCTTATTGTTTTCTACTTTCTTGGAAATGTCCTCAACTTTATCTTCTAACCTTTTTATTGTTCTTTTAATATATGCTATTGTTATTGATGGTCATTCTCTGAATGTTTCTTTTATAAGCATCCTATTCCTGTTTCATGAATGCAATGTCTTAATTATTTGAAAGTATTAATTATAGTTTCTTTTAAGTTTTCTCATCTTTATAAAGTCTGTTTTTTTCAAGTTGTTTTTTTCTGTTTCTTGGTTTTGTTATCTGTCACATTAAAAGCTTCCCTCAGGTATCTGGTAATTCTGGAAGTAAAGAAGGCTGAGTGTAGGTGAGTGGGGTGAGGGTGTGGGGCTCATCATTCAGTCTGCATATGTTCACTTAGTCACTCCACCTGGCTTTTCGTATTCTCTGCTTTCAACTGTACCTGGTGTCTCCCAAGCCCAAAATCCCCAGTTTAACCCTCTCCAAAGAATAAACCTCCAGTTTTTTGTTGGAGTAGAGGGAGAAGAGTTGCCCAGTCACCTGAAATGGGGATATAACTACTTCTTAAACAACTTTCAATCAATTCTCCTTAGTTTCATCCCCTTCAACTCCTTCTTTTAGAAGTACAACTGCCCCTCAATATTTGTGGGGGATTAGTTCTAGGACTCCTCCACTCCATACCAAAATTTGCAGATATTAAAGTCCCTTATATAACATGATGTAGTATTTGCATGCATATCCAATATAAGTGCTATGTAAATATTTGCTATAATGTTTTTAAACATTTTTGGCCGGGCACAGTGGCTCACGCCTGTAATCCCAGCACTTTGGGAGGCTGAGGCGGGCAGATCACTTAAGGTCAGGAGTTCAAGACAACCCTGGCCAACATAGTGAAACCCCGTTTCTACTAAAAATACAAAAATTAGCCAGGCATGGTGGTGTACGCCTATAATTCCAGTTATTCGGGAGGCTGAGGCAGGAAAATCGCCTGAACCTGGGAGTTGGAGGTTGCAGTGAGCCGAGATCACGCCACTCCACTCCAGCCTGGGTGACAGAGTGAGACCCTGTCTCAAAAAATAAAATAAAATAAAAATTTTTGTGTTATTTTTAGTCTTTTTTTTTTTTTGAATATTTTGGATCAGAGGTTGGCTGAATCCTCAGATGCAGAATCCATGGATACGGAGAACCAGCTACATCTGATGCCACCGATTTCCGAGCCTTCAAGGCTCCAGAAGTTTAAATTGGGTTGATTCTCAGCTTTGCCAACTGCTGGCTTTCTCATATCTGCTAAGTCAATGCATTTGCCTTCCAGCTTCCAAAATTTTATTGCTATTGCATGCTGCCCCTTAAAATGGCCAATGTGTCATTCACGTGGGTTTATGCCTTAAAAAACATCCCTATGTAGAGGTTTAGTGAGGTTTCTTAAAGGAGTGCATTGTTCAGTCTCCAAGTTTACCTGAAACCTAGAAATGCATGGTCTTTTGAATATAGTTTTGTAGGACAGTTCTGGAATCCAAGACATATTCTTATCTCTTCCAGAGTACATTTTAGCATCAATGCTTTAAGCTCAGAATGGTGGGGTTTCATTCACTCATTCTGGAAGAATAGTGAGTAGGGGGACTTCATAGACTAGAGAGAAATTCATTGGAAAGGTGGTGAGAATAATTTTTAGGAGAAGGACGTACAAGACAAGAACACTAATGATGAGATCCCAAGGTTCTTATGTTCCCTTAATAATATTATAGTACTATGGTTATTAACTGGGTGATGAAATAATCTGTACACCAGACCTCCGTGACATGCAATTTATCTGTAAAACAAACCTGCACATGTACCTCTGAACTTAAAATAAAAGTTTAAAAAAATAGATTATAATGCTTATCTGAAAATTATAGCACTTCTGCTACATTATTGACGTCACTCAATGAAGTGCTGCAGAATGCCCAAAGTGGCATTTATAGTAGCTAAAGTGTTAATCTAAAAAAGCATCCCCAAACTTTAAATTAATAGTTTATTCTAGGTAAAGTATTCTCTAAACACGTTATAAACGTTATTAAGAAGCATATCATTTCCTATTCTTTAGTGCTTTCTGTATAAATCAAATGAGTTTATTTCATAGGAGGAAAGGCCTCCTTCATCCTTTGGGCCTCCATAAAAGCATTGGCTAAACAAGAGTTCTGTCTGGAAAAGGAAGAGTACTACACTATACTTGCATATCTATGGTCATTTTGTTTTATCACATTTCTTTTGAACAAAGGCTTGGTTCCCTGCAGTTGCTTCTGTCAGAACTGGGCCTGTTGAATTTGTCAGACTTTAGAAAGCCTATAGCCAGCCAACACTAAAACAGCTGTCTGTGTAGCAAGAGTGAGGTGGAAAACTGGCAATGTGATCTACTTAATATAAGCAACCACTTTGTTGTTGTTATTGTTAGTGAAGTAGCTAGTTTCGAATTATTTTATTTTATTTTTGGAGACAGGATCTCACTCTGTCAGCCAGGCTGGAGTGCAGTGGCACCGTCATGGCTCACTGCAGCCTTGACTTCCTAGGCTTAGGTGATTCTCTCCCAAGTAGGTGGGACTACAGGTGTGCACCACCACACCCAGCTAATTTTTCTATTTTTGGTAGAGATAGGGTTTCACCATGTTACTCAGGCTGGTCTCGAACTCCTGGGCTCAAGTGATCCTCCTGCCTCAGCCTCCCAAAGTGCTGGGATTACAGGCATGAGCCACCGCACCTGGCCTAGAATTATTTTAAATGTCAAGTTTCATAGTTAATCTGGAAACAAACAGCACAACTATGATTAACCTGAAGACTGAGCAAATCCTAAAATTCAGTAACCTGAGGATCCAGCTAAGCTTGGGGCCTTCTAGATCAGTTCCATTTGCGAGCTTTTCACTTCTCATAGTTCGTCCTGGAGGACAGTCCTAAGGCTTTGATCGACAGCATCCAACAAGCAGCACTGCTGGCTCCCTCCTCCCCACCAACTGCTTGTACTTGCTCCATGATGACAACACATCTAGCTCTCACAGCAGACATACAGCTTTTCTGTGATCAGCTGATGTCCATCGAAGCAGCACCTTTCTCTAGCTCCCTCAAGGGAAGTGATCAAGCCTATCACACAGGAGTCAGTAAAAAAAGGCCTCTCTCAAATCTGAGACTCAAGTGGAGAGGCCAACACACACTTAGCTAAGCCATCAAACCTTCTGGAAGAATAAATGCACGGGTAGATGTTACTAAAAAGAAAAGCTGCTCATGTTGGAATGAGTATGGAAGCTTCCTGGGCTCATTTCAGTCTTTGTACTCTGTCTCCTTTTCTTTTAATCCAACTCACATTTCTGCTTTGTCACTGATGTGTCAACCCAGTGCAGAAATCCACAAGAGGACTACAGAATGCTCCTCAAATATTTATTGGGCATCTACAATGTTTCGGGTCCTGTGGATCAACAGGGATGGAGATAGCATGGTCACTGGGGCTTCAGTCTAGTTTGAGACCCAGAGGGGGAAGAACACAATAAAGAAGGAAGAGGAGGACAAAGTGGAAGAAGTGGTCCACAGAAGGGGAGCTCCATGAAACAAAGTCTTAACAAGAGGGCTTAATGTTGTAGGAATGGAAATAAGGTCAGTGGAACTCTAGAATAAATGAGAAAGGAAGAGAGTAATACAAGATAAGACTGGAGGAGGGGTGGTGAGGGGCCAGACCCCTCAGGCCCAGAGGCCATGTTAAGAATTTTAAGTCACACCTGAGAATAAATGATACGTTTTAGGCAGCATCGTGGTATGACCAGATTTATAATACTGTTTAGAAGATAATTCTGGCTACTCTAAGAAATTAGATGAAACGGGGCAAGAGGAGGCAGGGAGAAACTAGGCAGGAGGCTACTACTAATATCCAGATGAGAGCTGGTGGTGGCTTGGGTGATGGTTAGCAGAGATGAAGAAAAGTGGAAAGATTTGAGATATATTTAGAAGGTACACTGACAAGACTTACTAGTTAATTAGATGAAGGGGGTGGTAACGGAGAGGGAAGTGTCAAGTATGACTTAGGTTTATGGCATGAATAAGTGGGCGGATGATGTACAGCAGACGCATATAGGATTTTCCTTCAATTTTATATGAAATGAGGAGGCTGAATTCATGGTGCAAAAAAACACTACCTAGGGATCTGGGGTCTGATTCTGGCTCTGCCACTAACAAACTGTAAGATATTAGAAAGTAATTTATCCTTTCTGAGCTTCAGTAACCTCATCTGCAAAATGATAGCCTTGGGTTAGATTATGTCTGGGGGGTCTTCAACTATAAAAAGCTACAGCAGAAAGCCAGCTCTCATCTTCCTGAGTTACAGTGCAGCTTGAATACTGGCTCTTATGGTTCTGTGATCTTGGGCAAGGTATTTAAACTTTTTAAGCCTCATTTATTCATGCAACATACAATTATCAAGGCAGCCAGGCCTGTTCTAGAAGCTGAGGATACAGCAGTGATTAAAACAAGGCCTTTGCCTAAATAACTTTCATAGGGAAAATAGACACAAGTAAGATCATTTCAGACAGTGAATAGTGCTGTGAAGGAAATAAAACATGTTAACGAAATAGAGAATAATTATGGGAGTGGGACAGGTGGCTACTTTGGCCAGATTGTTGGGTAATGCCTCACTTCTCTCATTTGTTAAGTACAAGCAATAAAAGTACCTTCTCATGGGGTGCTGTGGGGATTAAATGAGATAATGCATGTAAGACATTCAGAAGTGTGCCTAACATAGAGTAATTTTTTTTTTTTACTATTAAAAACAGAAATGATGCTGCTGCTATTACTGTTGTGACAAGTTTCTATTCAGGGAATTTTATCAACCTGAATTACATTTTTATGGTACTTTCAGGGATATTATTATTCCTCATTGATAACCCACAAAATCAAAACAAACTGAACTTTGGATAAATGTGCCCTTGTTACGGGAGCTTTGAAAATGGATCCAAAACAATCATTACATGTATATGGACAATACATGTTCTATACTTGTCCTCCCGCTTTGACCCATTAGCAGACTCACTCTGTACAATATATGATTAAGTGCAGGCCTCCCTATATTTGTGGAGCCAGGTCACAAAGAACATCTGAGTAGGAGAGAATGTCTGAATATTCCAGAATGGTGGGCAGGTGGGCAGGTGGAGGCCTGCCCTGTGACACTCTATAATTTATGGAACGTTGATGCTGCCCAGGGACTATGAGGCAGAGGAGGAAATCAAGGCACAGGGAGGTTTGGAAACCTTCTCCCCAGTCATGCAGATACTGGGTCACAGAGCTGGAATTTGAGCCCAGGCAATCTGATTATAGACCTGTTATTCTTAACCTCTGGGATCTGCTGCCTCTCACTAGATTACAAAAACAAGGGTCCAATCTGATTGCCAACTGACCTGAGCTGAGAGAAGGGCAGATAAGGAGCATGTGGAAGCAGGAGAAATGAAGGGGCATAAAAAATTACTCAAGTATTTCAACAATAAATTCTTCTAGGACTATAGGATGGCCTGTTTATTATGGGTGTGATTTGATTAAAAATGCATTAAAATTTAAAATGTCCATTTTAACTCAGACTATTAACGTGACGATTAGGAGGTAAAGAAAAGATGGACAAGGTCCCAGCCATGTCCTGACACTGAAGCAGGGAGGGGAAGACAGCCTTCAGGCAACGTTCCCCGAGGCCCTGGTCGTAGGGCTGATAGTCAGTTTTCCAGCAGATGCTGAGAAAGCAGCTGAGTGACAGATGAGAAATGGAGACAGGACCAGAGGATACGGAAGCACTGCTGAGAAAAAGAAATGCACGGCGGTCATAGCCATCACCGCAGTGGCTTAGAGCGTGAAGACATGAACTTGGAAGGCACCTCTCACACTTAATATCTTTGTGACCTCAGCAAGTCATTTAACTTCTCCTTCCCCGATTCCTTATCTGAAAGTAATAATACTACCTACTCCATACTATAGACTGGGGATTAATCAGAATAGGAGCTAGTAAGTGCTCAGTTAGTGTTTGCTAGTATTATTATTATTGTTGTTATTTTTTTTTTGAGATGGAGTCTCACTTTGTTGCCCAGGCTGGAGTGCAGTGGGGCGATCTCGGCTCGCTGCAACCTCTGCCTTCTGGGTTCAAGTGATTCTCGTGCCCCAGCCTCCTGAACAGCTGGGATTACAGGCACACACCACCACACCCAGCTGATTTTTATATTTTTAGTAGAGACGGGGTTTCGCCATGTTAGTCAGTCTGGTCTCGAACTCCTGACCTCAGGTAATCCACCCACCTCAGCCTCCCAAAGTGCTGGTATTACAGGCGTGAGCCACCACACCCAGCTATTATTATTGGCAGTGGCAGCATCACTTGTTGAACACTTACTACCTGGCAAACACTGGGCTGTGTACTTTACATGGATGATCACATTTAATCCTTAAAACAACCCCTATAAGATATGCATTATCCTTATGACCAGCTAAAAGGCACAGTGAAATACAGCATAAACAGAATAGTAAGCTGAAGCGGCACAGCCAGGGTTTAGGCCCACATACTCTAACTCTAGAGCCCAGTCTCTCATCACTGCATTCTGTGCCCCAACCCTGATGGCTGGTCCTAGAATCAAGAGAACTAGTTGCTAGTTCTCATAGCTCTGTCAATAACTAATTTGGGGACTTTGGACAAATCATATTTGGGCTCTCACTTCAAGAATAAAAATGGAAGAGTTGAATTGATTTCTGAGGCCTCCTCCAACTCTAAATCCAATGACTAGAGATCATTATATGTGTACACTTCCAAATGAAAACTATAAAATTACCAGTGGGCTCTAGCCTGTGACATTTTAAAGAAATTAGATTGGTTAAAATATTTTATTTTCACTATAATCTCAAATTTAAACCTCTACCAAGAAATATTTTAGATGGGTTTCGAAATGGTCCTAGAAGTTAAATCTTCATTACATGTCTATTTCAATGGAATTAGAACTACCTTTGTTAATTAAATCTCAGAGCTTCAGAAAATAACTGCCCTACACCTATATAAACTAGATGTGAATGCTTATTTAGTTAATCAAGCATATTAATAACAGAAAACATCTTCAAGTATGATTTTCCCTCTCCAATATTGAGCACAGCTCTCTGCTGTATTTTTTTCCTCAGAAGAATTTCCTTCTCCTCAGTGTAACAAAACTACCTAAGGGCAGAAGAGATTCTCCTGAGGTCTCAAAGCACAGGTAGAAGAACATCTCCTGATGTGAGCTATCTGGGCCTATGTGAGAAAATGCTCCATCTCCATTGGTCAGAGAGGATGTCAGAAAGTGAGAAGAAGCATGTCTAGGACAGGTGGACCCAGAAAATCAGACCACAGAGTTCCTAGCAGGAGGGAAAACATGACATGGATTTCCCCAGAAACACCACATGTCCTTCCCACAGTGGAAAAACAAAAAAGAGAAGAAGAAAAAGGAACACTTTCATTGTCAGTTTTATTCCTTTACGTGGGGGAAGTAATGCCTTCCCCCAAGGCCCTGCTGTGCTTGAGTGTCCTCAGGGTGGGATGAACAGGCCATCATTCTGATGAGATCACCCTTTTCCCTTTTAAAACTGTGCCGTGTTACAGGGAGGCTGAGGCAGGAGAATCACTTGAACCGGGGAGGCGGAGGTTGCAGTGAGCCAAGATCATGCCACTGCACTCCAGCCTGGGCAACAGAGCGAGACTCTCCCTGTCTCAAAATAAATAAATAAATAAATAAATAAATAAATAAATAAATAAATAAAAAATAGTGCTGGGTCATGTCTTGAAAAGGCACGTAAGAGCAGCAATGTGCCAATGGAGTGGAGGAAATAAAGTATTAGGAATAATTGTTATTGTTCCCTGTCTTAGGTGTTCAGCCACATCCCGAACACAGACACATACTTGTTACAGGGCATACCAAAATAGCAAAAGTGAGCTTCTTCCCTGGAGTTACCTGTGATTCATGAATTTGATTTCTAAAGCATTTTCCTGCCTCGGAGTCCAGCTTTATCTCATTTGCAGGTAAACACTATGGCTAAATTCCAAACAAATTGAAAGCCATGTGTTCCATGTGGAATGCATGCTCTACACATTTATGCAAGGTTTCCTGGAGAGTAAATAGTATTTAGGAGGTGCATGTTCCAGATGCAAGAACAGAACACATTCATTAAACAGTCCTGGTATCAGGCTGTTAGGCAGCATAACTTATTTTAGCAATGTTGTTTAGGTGCACGTCCCAGCATATCACACTGCATTTATTCCAAGTTTCCTCTCTTAGGTCTTGAGGAAAGAATCATTTCTGTGTGGGGAAGGGGGAAGGAGGAGAACTGCCTCCCCTTCTAACAGCAGGAATTGCCATTAGCAAGTTCCAAAAGGTAAAACACTACTCAGCAAATTTACATGGTAAGTAGGGCAACATCTCATTGGGGTTTAGTCTAAACCTACTTTAAACAAACCTCACTTTGCCATGCCATCTGAAATTAAATATATGACATTCAGATTGCTAAAATATATATATATGTATATATATGTATGTGTATATATACACATATATATGTATGAGAGCTGGCTGACAATCTCAGCTGTGCAAAATGGCCAGGACTCTGTCCTTCCTGTATCTCCACTCATCATTATTCATTGATATGAAGGAAATGTGACAGTCTGCTCTCCAAAAATTTCTGCTGCTGCACTAACTTGGGCAGCTCACTGCAACTAATGTGGAAATGTAGTGCTAAGCACGTCCTGGCTGTAAACACAGCGGTCTTGCTCTGTTGGGGCCATCTACAAATGTCTCCAACCAACTTGTATGATTGTCTTTAACACCTTTTTTTTTTGTTAAGGAAATGAATTTGATTTCATTTTCCTTCCCCAGTTTTCAAATAGTCATTAAAAATTAAACAACACTGGGAAAAGCCTTTTGTGATTATAGCCTTCATTCTCCTGCAACAAACTGGATCTATAAATTTACGTACCATTGTAGATGTAAATTACAAAATTTATATTCAACTATATTAAAACATCTATTCCAAAAATGATTACCAGTTGTGAAAAGCAGACAGGCTTATCACTTGCTGTCAGTTGTTCATGTCTAGTTAAGCAATAATGTGCTAAAACTGCTCTTTTGTTTTGTGTAAGAATTTTGGCAATAGAAGAAATGAACACTCGGTTAATAAAAACTCAGGCTGCTTTTTGCTTTGATGGAGGAAGCAGCTGCCTGCTTTCATTTGCTGCAGAGCAGCAAAACCCATCAATATAATAAGCAGCTTAGATGCATCCATCCACAGCATCTGTAAGGATATAGGGCTATTCGCTCAAAACCAATCCCTGGTTTAATTTTAACAAAGATGTGTCTGACATATTTGAAGATGCATTATAATAGGTTTTGAAACATGAACAATTTCTCTTTCTTTTAAATACTTTTTGCAGATTTGAAAGGTTAGTATATGTGGCTGAATGATAGCAATGATAAAAACCAGTCCAAACTGTGAGGCCACCCTAAAACAAGGGCAGTGAAGGGAGCAAATTGACTGGCAGCTATTTGGTTCCCTTCAAAGGAGAAATAATGCATTTGAATGTGATTTCATTCATTTATTCATCCAAACAAATATTTACTGAATCCTTACTATATGTTGCACTGGGCGAGATACTAAGACCACAGCCCCTCCTCTCAAGGAGTTCACTCATTAAGGGAAAAGATGAACACAAAAACATCAGTAAAACAATATGGTAAGCACAGTGATATAGATACACATTTTTATATTTGTCTTTTATTGTAAAAACTCAAATGGGCATACAACAGTGGAAACCATTTAACATAAAAATTAAAAATCAAATACTGTCTCCTCTATTATACAGTCACACACTTCATTAGACATACCTTTAAGAAAAGACGATCTGATAAAAAAATTGAATTATGTTTAAACACATGTCAAACTGTTTACTAGTGTAGCCAAGAATTATCATACATTGGAGAGAAAGTTTCAGGATTTTAAGTTTCGTTTGGACAGCCTCTAATTTTACAGTAACCATTAGACACTTTTACATGATCACCATGCAGCAAGCTTAATAGAAAATACAAACTTTAAAGCAACTTACAATGTGATACAGTATGTTTTGGCTAGTAAACATGCTAAGGGATTATTTTATTTTAGTGCTAGGTGCCAGTCCAAGAAGTCAGCTAATTTTAAATTCTCCTCTCTTTCTGACTCAACACTGGATAAGTGAGCATTTCAGCCTGATCAGCTAGTGACCTGTCTGGTGGTATACATGAGCATAGGGTTAGTCATCAGCTTCTCAGGATATCAAACTCCAATGAGCGTTCATTTCCAGAAAGATTAAGAAAATGCTCCCATAAATGTAGCACTGAGGGCTTTCTTATTCAAACGTGTTCATGGCAAAGCCCATATACATGGTTGCATTTTTTTTCTTTAAATAAGCTTTTTATTCTGGAATAATTTTAGGTTTACAGAAAAGTTGCAAAGATAGTAGAGAGTTCCTAGCATTCGCTCAGTTTCTCCCATTGTTAACATCTTATACTTCTCGAAATTAAGAAACTGACATTGGTTCATTACTATGAACTAAACGAGGGTTTGTTTTTTTGTTTGTTTGTTTTTTGTTTTGTTTTTTTTTTTTTTTGAGGCAGAGTCTCGCTCTGTTGCCCAGGCTGGAGTGCAGTGGCATGATCTCAGCTCACTGCAAGCTTTGCCTCCCAGGTTCACGCCATTCTCCTGACTCAGCCTCCCGAGTAGCTGGGACTACAGGCGCCCGCCACCATGCCCGGCTAATTTTTTGTATTTTTAGTAGATACGGTGTTTCATCGTGTTAGCCAGGATGGTCTCGATCTCCTGACCTCATGATCCGCCCACCTCAGCCTCCCAAAGTGCTGGGATTACAGGCGTGAGCCACTGGGCCTGGCCAAGGCTTTGCTTTTAATAGAAGAGTCACTATTCAGATGAGAGCTGATGAAGGTGTCTGTCAGAAAGTCATAATTTGAACTTAAAGGACAATACTATCATCTATCATATATTGCCTTCCCTTAATTTTATTCCATCTTCTTAAGTTACTCCAAAGAAATGCGTATCAGATTGAAGTGTTAAAAGAGGACACAAAATATATATACCTCAGAGTTAAAAAAAAAAATCTGACCTCATCAAAAGAACTGTGTAGCCAGGTGAAGCCTTGGTTTCCTGTTCCATTGTTGAAATGGGCAGAATATTATTTCTAAGTCATTATTCACATAGAAATGCTGATTGCTCCTATTCAATTAATACTTTCATATCACAGTGTGATATGGACCTTATAACCAATCTTGTGGCAGCATGAGTTGAGAACCACAAAGAAGTCAGAGGTCATTATTTCCCCCCATTTAGAGTGTTTATAAAGGATTCACTATGTTCCCTCTCCTCTCTGTGCCTGCTTTCTTCCCTTGTCTGCTGCACTGTTTTAATGGCTGAGCATAATGCTTCTAGAATCCTGCAGAGATTCATAAGCTTTGTACTGGTTAATGGTGGTCTCTCCAAGAGCAAGTTGGAAAGGACACCTTTGGGGAGATTCTCTCTAGCTATAACTGGTGGTCAAACCTTGGTGCCTGATGTTTGGGTGCATACTCACTCTCCAGCCCCAGTGTATTCTAAGCTGAAAGAACTCCCTCCCTTCACTTTGCCCATTGCTTTCTCCCTCCCTTGATTCCCTCAGTTTTCCCTCTGTCCATCTCATTCTCTCTCCTTCTTTTCACTTTCATCCTCACGTCTGTTTTAGTGCCCACTTTTTCTATTTGAGAGAATTCATAACATAAGAGCAAACCTTTCTTTTAAAAAGCAAAAATCAATCATACTTTGATAAAGAAAATTTGCTGATCCCACCTTCAAGGTTTCATTAAAATAATTTGATCTCTTTCTTTATGTTGTCTTTGAACATAAACTGCTTGAGGACAGGGACCTCATTGTTTTCTTCTCGGGGGCATGTTTACACGATGCACATGAAGTTATGCTGTATTCATGGAGAATAGCAACGAATTGTTCTAAACCTAGAACTCAGCAATAAAAAATGAATCCCTCTTCTTTTGCAAGATCTATTTGCTGAGCTTTAAATGCTGTCTCTCTACTCCAGACCTGATTCTACCTACAAATGCAATCACAGGTCAGTTCTTGTGTGGGTAAGTTTCTAATTGCACTCAATCCACTTTCACTGACTTTCTTATCTATATCCACAATCTGTAGACCTGGCAGGACAATTATCACCAATAGACAGGATAGATCCTCTGGGGAGGAGGACTGCCCTGGGCCTGAAAGGTGCATGCTTACCAGTTTCCAGGCCAGCAACATGGAAGAATCCACATTCAATAGGCCATCTTTCTCTAAATCAATCCTTTTGCTTTGTTCAGCAGAGACCATGTCATGGGTGCTCATATCTGGGGCTTATCTGGGGATATCTACAAACATGCAGGTCTCTAATCATAGGAGCCTGGAATGAGTCCTAGAATGGACGCTTTAAGTGACTTGAGAGAGAGAAAATGATTCTGTCTAGGTTTTTTTTTTTGTCCCCTTCTCTTTGCTATGATAAAATTCGTAACCTTAAGCCATATAGAAAATTGTTTTCTCTTAGAATCACAACTCCTCGAGAAAGGTTTTCAAAATACACTATTTAAACCGAACTCTTGCTCTGAACTTGACACCACAATTATCCTTCTGTTAGGAAAAATACAAAAATTCTAGAGCTGTTATATTGTTATCAGCCCTTTCACACCAGGACACACGAGTGTTCTTAAGTTGAGATCAAAGTGCACAGGCTGAGTTGTTGAGAACGGAGAAGTCATCACGGTCTCTATGAACTCATGCTGGACTTCTCAGGACAGAAAACAGATTTCCTTCTCTCTCCAGCAGTAAAGAGTTCATGTTATTGTGAACTCCATCATTTCTCCTCCTTGGCCCCACCCTCAACAAATGATTGAAACAATGGCTTCAAACCCAGAACGTTGTATTTAGGCTAGAATATGTTTCTCATTTGTTTATGCTGCCCAACAGCATTGAAGAGATTTTGGCTGAGCAAATACTATGGTGGAAGTCTACATTCATACCATTAGTGACATGAAAAACAATAACCTTTTGGAAGAATATGAAATCGTGTTTACTTATCAGGAGAGTAATTCATTACTATTTTTCTTTTCTTTTTCTTTTTTCTTTTTCTTTTTTTTTTTTTTTTTTTTTGAGACAGAGTCTCGCTCTGTCGCCCAGGCTGGTGTGCAGTGGCGCGATCTCGGCTCACTGCAAGCTCTGCCTCCTGGGTTCACGCCCTTCTCCTGCCTCAGCCTCCCGAGTAGCTGGGACTACAGGCGTCCGCCACCACGCCCGCCTAATTTTTTTGTATTTTTTTAGTAGAGAGGGGGTTTCACTGTGTTAGCCAGGATGGTCTTGATCTCCTGACCTTGCGATCCGCCCGCCTCGGCCTCCCAAAGTGCTGGGATTATAGGCGTGAGCCACCGCGCCCTGCCTCGTTACTGTTTTTCATAGGTGCTTTAGAGACATTGCAATTTATGAAGTAAGGTCTAAAGGATCCAGGGGCTTGCTTAGCACACAGAGGCTAGCTAGTTAATGACCGAGTTTGGGCTAGAACCTCAGTCCCCTAATACCTCACTATGGTTCTCTTTTCAGAGTATGAGACTTTAACTATAGTGTGGGAAAGACATGATTTGAGTTTGCATCTTGTGGAGAGATTTTACCTTCCAGGTGGATATCAGTGTTTGAAGAAATGAATCATACTCATCCCAATTTCAACATATTCACAGATGCTTAGCAATTAAATCATTTTTTTTTTGGTTTCTATTTCTCAATAAACAGTTTTATAGAAACCCTGCCTCCTTTCCATGCTCCAATACACTGGCTGGTGGAAGAGGCTACAGATACATTCAGCTGCAGCTTACCTAATATCAGAATCTCTGAATAGAGGCCAGGAAGCAATATAAAATCTTTAGAAATAGTGACCCCCTTCTCCAGAATTATAATGATTGTGTGCCTTGCTTTATATAATTGGGCTTCTGTTTGTTTTCAGGAAATTTATCATCTACACGGTCATTAGTCTTACTTATTCAGATGTCTACATGTAATTTGTCTTGCAATTAAGAGTTTGTAGCAGATTCCAACAATTCTTTTGATTACCAGCATTCCAATCATAATAAAAGAGTAATTTTATTTTACATTGTTGTGTCTAGGGAGGGAGAATCATGTAATATATACAATTTTCACATACAACAGTGTTGAGAAATGTAATTTTCTGCGTATTCTCTTCTAAGAATATTTTCAACGTTTCTCGATTGTCTCTGCACTCAGGAACAGGATTGAAATCTCCACTTTGGTATTTATCTGAGGCTGTGATAGCTCGGTCGTCTGCCGCCAAATGCCAAGATAGGGGGAATCTCATCATCCAGAGACCAGCTGCATGATGGGCAGTTAATAGATATATCAAACCTTAGGATATATGCTAAGCTGAAGAGATGATTGGTTGGTTGATACACTGATTGATTAGCATAGGGAGAATGGGTTTCTTCTTGACAACCTAAGATTATGCTTCAGCTAAGCTCAAATTGCTTACACCTCTTCTATTGGGTTTAAAATTACAGTCCTGTCATCTAAAATCTCTCTTCAATGAAATTTTTACCATATATAAAAATTAAAGGGAAAAAGAAAGTAGGAGCACTGGATAAGAGTAAATGGAGTAGATACATTTCATGCTACTGTTGTTGATTCCACTAGGAAAAGTTGATATGTAAATCCCCTTGAAAAATGTTACACATTTCATAAACGATTACTGAATATTATACAATAATTCAGGGGAAAAAGTTCAGTGTATTTGTCAGTGAACACATATTTTCAAATACATTACAGTTAGATCTCTTCTATGTAAAAAAGGGAATTAAAGGGAAGCCCTCTATTAATCAGGTTTACACTCTAAGGCACATCGACCCCATCTTTGGACTTTTAATATTTTTAACTGCTGGCATGCCTTTCAGGGGCAGAGAAAAAAGGGCAGACTTATCGAGACCGAGGATTAGCTTTGTATTTGAAGCTGCTTAACACAAGTAGTAACTTCTTTAATTAGCAGTAACGATTCTAAAGACAGTCACATGTATATCTTGAAATATTTTAATATTGTGTCCGTTTCCCACGTATGCAGAATCAGATATGCTTTAAAATGAAACAAAAACCAGATGAATGAAGGAAACATAACCCTGTTCTATCAAACTCTAAACTGATATTTAAGTGGTATTAAATAAAATCATCAAGACTTTGCACAAAGGGCCAACATTTAGGGCTCTGCAAACATCTGATCATCTTAGTTTACAACAAATACATTAAACATAAGCTTGGTTTATGATGTCCTGTTTAAAGATTCGATCTCATTGTACTCCAAATTATCAGAGACTGGCTAAAGAAAGGACCTTGCTCTTGCTTCTTCTTCCCCATTCCCCTCCCCCTCCAAAAAAAAAAAAAAAGCTGGTAAGAGCTTTAATTCAGCACTTTAAGAACACCCCCTCCTCTGCCTGAGCAAATAAGGATTTGGTTGCCGAATCACACTGGATAAGTGGTTCATTGAGAATGTTAAAATCTGCATTAATAAATAGGACTGGGCTTCTCGGCTTTTCCCCCTTCCTATCAGCTATGAGCGGTAGGGGATCAGCTGCGACTAAAATCCCCAGCTGAACAACCCACATACAACTCAGTGAGCAGACTTAAAACAAGGCCATTTATTGGTGACTGTTATGCAAACAAAGCGTCCAAGTCTTAGAAACAGATGTCAACTGAAGCATATGCTTACTGTAAACTGGAATTTGATTCTCTTTATAAAAATAGACATAAATGGGCCTTCAGAAAGTAGCCTGCCTCTTGTTGTCTACCACTGCCTAACTTGATTCAGCCTAAAGCTTTTAAAGAGATGAATAGACTGATATGTGAGGGCAAAAGAATAAGAGTTTAAAAAAAATTAAATTGGAAATAAATGATAACATGTTGGAGCAGTTCCCAGAAGCAATTTTACAGATTTTTCTCTAAAAACACAAGACAAGAAGTTAAAGGCTTAGCGCAGGTCACCCATGGCATGTCGAGTTATCATTTCCTACCACTTAGGGTGGAAAAGAAACTGCACATTCGGGTGGCAAGTTTAGTGGCGCATACTTTTTACCCTCCTCTCTCTTTCTTTCTCTCTCCCTTACCTCTTCTCACATCTTGATGTCTTTTAAATGTCACTTATTTTACATGAGGCAGTTGGTGGAGACATGAGTCAACAGCAATCAGAACCATTATCCCCTGCAGCGAGTCCTGGTCTTAATGCATTGTGACACCTTTGCTGGCCAGCCACCGATTTACCTTTCTGCTTCTTAGGGAATTAAGTGGCATCATGTGAAAATGGTTGTGATATGAACAGCATGGGCATAACTGGTATTAAATTTACCTCTCAGCCTAAGTGAATTTTCCTCACATGTGACGAATCAAAATGAAAGCCTGTGGACCCAGGCTGAGCTGGCCGGCACTTCCCCACCCCTGGGACCAGGGCTATTTTGTTTTATCTCTTTGTACAAGCTGGCAGAAGTTTAAAGTGAAGGGGATAATCCAGTGCTGGTGTCCTTATGAAATAACATCCTTACATGAAGAGGCTTTTAACTGTCTGTCGCTGTCCTCTCAAAAAAAGAGTGTGACAATCTCATTTTGCTGAGCACACTCCCATGAAAAGGGAAAATAATAGCCATGGCTGCCATGGCTAGCACTGACCTTACATGATCTATTATCCACTAAACACTTTAAAAGTCAGTTTTGCATACACTGCAGGAGGAAATGAGGGAACTACCACAATCATTTTCACTTTAGTGAATTTGCCATCTATTTGAAGTCCGTCACTTGATATCCCAACACATCCAGCCAGTGTCACAGTATCATGAAAAAGAAAACACCGCTGATTAAAAGATGCCAAGCACAGACACACTGGCACCCTGCTATTTCAGACATTTGCTAGGAGTAATGGCAGCCGTGGAATGGCTTGGTGTGAACTTTCTTCAAACTTAAACATAAGAAAAAGAACAATCAAAGATGAAGTCCTTCAAATTTTTAGAAGTGCTTGACATTCCTTCAAAAATATGTTTTACTAACCACTTAGCGGAGATCAGTAGGTGCCAAAGGAAGTGCAGGCAGAGCAATTATCATCCTGCACAGTCAGCCTGATGCTTATTCACAGACAAGAGTGGCTTGCATTCTGCCATGAACCAACTGTGCATGTTGCTGATAATAGAGCAGAGGTATTGCTAAATTGGTACTGAAATAGCACACCTCGTTTACTTCCAGCAACTTATTTGTGGAAGGCAATGAAGGCTGGAATATTTTCTCATAACTATAAGAATACTCAACTCATTGTTAACGTTAAAATTAGTTTTCTGACATGGCGCAGGCTATGCATTTACTTTTCCTTAAATAGGAACTTCCGTGCCAAGGGTATAACATTAATGGCATTTCTTTCCCCTCGTGGAGAATGCACTGCTTCATTAATAAACCATCTAGAAGCCTGACTAGTAATCAAATTCTTGGTCACTTTACAGTTCTCCACTCAGAAGTTCAAAGACTGTTTCCCTTCATTTTGGTAATGCATTTATTCTTGAACCCTTCACTCGGAGGCAAGTAATCAGAGTGGAAAAAAATGAGGGCAGAGATCCCTGAGAGGATGGCTGCAGTCCAATATCAAATATAATAGTTGTCAAGTTTTGAGCCACATTTATAAAATTTAATATCACTATATTGAGGTTTTGGGCAGGGACAAAAGAGAATAGGCAAATAAATGGTCACAATATTCCTCAAGCATTGATTCACCCACAGGCCCCAAAACACTGGAGTTTGACTTTCTGAGTTAATACTTCCACCCTGAACTCCATGACCCAACTCTAACCATCAGCTTAGAGGAAACCAGGATGGTTTATTCAAAAGAGTTTTGGGAATTCGATTCATAAGAGTAGAAAGAGGATTTTGTTAAGGTTCTTTTGGGACCAAATCAACTTAACAACCAGTCTGCTATTGGGTTCCTGGGGATTTTCAACTCAATGTAGAGAGAAGAGAACCAAATTTCTCAATTAGAATGGGAGAAAAATAGGATTTGGGCCAAGATAGATAATTATGAATAAAGAAAAGTGAGTAGCAGAGTCTGCCATTTTCACAAAACAGGTACATGGAATACCAGGGGCTCCCACTTTCAGGACTCATAAGAGACAGACTGAGAAAAGATGAGAAGGAAGGCTATCAGGAGAAAAGAACACTCAGAAGACAATATACAAACATTCACAATTACAGTCTTACTCATGAGATAAAAATACAAGCACAAAACATAACATGGCTTCTGAACTACTAAGTTATCCATTGAGTAGTATTGTCCGTTTTTTGCTGAGTAAAACCTGCTGTAGGAAAAAAAATATGAATATCAAGCAATTGGTCTTTAGAATTTGATTATGCACTTCAGGAATGAGGCAGGAGTAATGAATTCAGCCCAAGTGTTTGGAGAGATTGGCCATTTTAGATATGCCTGAACCATTAGCTTGAAGCTGGAGTGTGTACCAAGGGTGGTCATGCTGTTCACTGATGAGTAAGCAGCCTCATGATCTCAGGTAGGCTCAGCAGCAATCTCAGTGAATACACAGTCACATTTAGAGAAGTACAGACATGGCTAGACCTGGATGTCTAACACAAGATGAAGAACTAGCACCATCCCCATTTCACTACCTATTTACTTAACATTTCAAAATGTTAATGGAAAGAATTAATCTGAAGTGCACCATCACAAGTCTACTTTTTTCACGCATTTAAAAAATTTTTTTCCAAGCTACTCATAAAGATTGTTTGGGGTTTTGTTGGTGTTTTTGTTGCTAATGGGTTTTCGGAAACGCAGCAACCCAGCTAGGTAAGGAACACAGTTAGTTTAGGATTCATACATGGAATTCCTTTTTTTTTTCTTATTGAAAAAACTGTATTGTAAAGAGTTATTTCCCATTGTAAAATTTTCATAGTACAGAAAAGTTTGTCAGTTCTCTCTTCTTTATACATCCTCTAATTGTACTCCTTAGTGACACCATTAACTGGGTGTTATGCATGAGTCCAGCTGTGAAATACACATACACATTGACTCTCACACACACTTGTGTTTTATGCCAGACATTTTACACACACACACACACCCCAAGAGCAAGGAGATTGGAATGGAGTACACCAGGTGCGGGCAATAAGGAGGTGCATTGTTATAAGAGAATTGTAAAAAATAACACAACCTTCTAAAAGTAAATACGCTTTTTTTTTTTTTAGACGGAGTCTCAATTCTGTTGCCCAGTCTGGAGTGCAGTGGTGCCATCTCGGCTCACTGCAACATCCACCTCCCTGGTTCAAGTGATTCTCCTGCCTCAGCCTCCTGAGTAGCTGGGATTACAGGTGCCCGCCACCATGCCCAGCTAATTTTTGTATTTTTAGTAGAGATAGGGTTTTGCCATATACATGGAATTCCTATCTCCAATGTGGCTGGATGTGGCCTGGCTACTCTGGACAGCTCTCCTGAGTAC
Organism: Homo sapiens; assembly: GCF_000001405.40. Classification (NCBI taxonomy): domain Eukaryota; kingdom Metazoa; phylum Chordata; class Mammalia; order Primates; family Hominidae; genus Homo; species Homo sapiens. Next base: position 44,677,454 of record NC_000002.12, on the reverse strand, counting down.
AGACTGCTGATGAGGAAGTTGGGATTTAATTGCTTGCATGCCCTTACTCCACAAACTGAATGCAATCTTCTACCCAGATATCCCTTCTGCTGAAATATGCACAAGTTTGCCTATGTTCTTGCAAAATAATACAAGGGACAGGGAAGAGATGTTTGGTGACTCCTCTTATCCCTGTTAAAACTCCTGGCACACTCAAAGTTAGGAATAAGCTCATGCTGCCTCTCCATTAATCCCTCCGACTGCTCTTAATCATGAAAATGCTATTCCACTGACTTTATAGCAGTCCTTTAAAAAATGAGGTTGGGCTCAATAAATTTTGTAGGTCACAATTGTTTATAAAACAATATTGATAAAGCAGTTCAGGAGATGAAAATCCCCTTCAGGATTGTTGAAACACAAATGTAAAGGGTCAGCACAGTCACTGTCCTCAGACAGGTATAAAGAATCAAGGGCACTGTAAAATAAAACATAATGCTAAAATACAGTGGTTTGTTTCCTGCAGAGAATTCTGAGAGAGAGAAAAAAAATCCTTATGAGGGAAGAAGGCTAGTGAATTAGAAGCAGGAAGACAGAATTTTTTAAAAAAGAAGAAAAAATAACCATTTACTTAGCATCTACTAAATGCTGGGCATTGTGCTGAACTATTCATAAATACTATTTCATTTAAGGATCAACATACCTTGCTCATTAGGTTCTCTCTCTCAGATGAGGAAGCTGAGGCTCAGTGAGGTCAGGTGACTAGCCAAACACCTTCCGTCCTCTCCATGCCAGTGAGTGGCTGGGCTGGGACTTAAGCCCAACCCAAGCTCTTAGACCCACCAGACTGTAGGACCCCTTCTGCAGGCACAGCAAGGCTGGAATGGGCATGAAGATGATTAGGGAGACCCAACTGACAAGACTGACTTTAGGATTTACGGAATTTGGGAGATGTGGAGAAAGAGGCTTAAGGATGACTCAGAGGTTTAGGGTCCAGATGACTGGGAAATTTGTGGTGCCATTAACAACAATAGGAGTGTGAGAAAGTCAAGCCTGTTTTGAGGATCAGATGATAACGCATTTGGGTTTTATACATAGTGAATTGAAAGCAATATGGGAATATTCTGGTTGGATCTACTGGAAATATGGAACTAGATTCAGTACCAAGGATAAATTTGGGATATACATTTAAGAAACACCCACATGGATGGAGATTAAAATTAAAAATATGGGAGTAGATCAGCAAAGAGAGGGAAGAGAGAGAGAGCGAGAGAGGGAAAGAGGAAATAAGACTAAGGATAGAATTTAGAAGAATGCTTCCCCAGAGGGAAAAGCTGTGCAACCTCAATGAGTTTACTGCACTAGTCTGAGCCACAGTTTCACCATTTATATGCGGATGATTGAAAGTTGGGTGGATAAACAAAATATGGTATGTATATGCAATGGAATATTATTTGGCCTTAAAAACGAAAGAAATTCTGGCACATGTTACAACATGGATGAACCTTGGGGGACATCATGCTAAGTAAAACAAGCTAGCCACAAAAAGAAAAATACTGTACAATTTTACTTATTTGCGGTACCCAGAGTGGTCAAATTCACAAAGAAAGAAAGTAGAATGATGGTTGCCAAGGGCTGGGGGAGGGGAGAATGGAGAGCTATTGTTTAATGGTGACAGAGTTTCAGTTTGGGAAAATGAAAAGAGCTCTGGAAATTGATGGTGGTAATGTTTGCACAATGATGTGAATATAATTAATACCACTGAACTGTACACTTAAAATGATGCAAATGGTAAATTTTACATTATGTGTATTTTACCACAATTAAAAATAAATAATTTTTAAAATGGAGATAAGAATATCTATATCCTAGGGTTGATGTGACAATAAAAGACGTTTGAAAACTTGGCACAACATCTGACAAATAATTTGTCTTGTATGTCAATAAATATTAGTTTCTTTTCCTCTCTTACCAGAAAGGAAGAAGGAAAAGAAAGAAGGAGAACAGGGAGGGTGAGGAGAGTAATAAGAGAAGGAAGAAGAAAACCAGAAGGTAAGAATGTCATGGAAGTCATAAAAGCCCCTTTAATAGTTCTACCAAAGGGGCAGGTCAACCATGTGAAAGATTGCAGAGATGAAGAAAATAAAGATTCCGGAATCTGACAATTAAGAATTATTTATAGCTTTTGAAAGAGCCTCATTAGAGTGCTGAAACCAGGAGAAGTGTTTAAGGGAATAAAAAGCAATCAGCCATCAAGTTGAGGAGGCAAGGAACACAGATTCCTTTTCCAAGAGGTTAGGGGATACAGAGGAGAAAGATGGGAGAGAATTAAGGGAATGTAGAGTAAGGGAAGATTCTCCTACTATCATTTGCTGGCTTGCCTTTTTTTTTTTCCCCCCCTTAAGGTTGGTAAATCCCGAGCATGTTTGCAAACAGAAAAGAAGAAATTCGTGGAGAGTGAGAGGTAAAAGATGCAATAGAGAGAAGGATCAAGACCACAGGGAGAGGATTTAGCTTAAGAAAGGAGGGAGTCACACCTTTTTCAGGGTGGGAGACAGGAGGAGAAGATTGATAGTTTGTGTGTTTTTTTTTTCCTTGTGGGGAAGAAATCATTACATGCCAAGAATGTGAGGCTATTAGCAGGGTAGAGAAACAACAAAGCTGTATAATCAACTCTTAATTATCAGCATTTTGGTTTATCAGCTTCAAATCTTGCTTGCAAGCAAGTTAGCACTTACTCAGCTTAATTACTTGCTTTGTTAGCATTTCAAACTCAATGTAATATAACTTTGTATGTGGCCTGCAGCCCAGCAGGGTAGCATTTTGACACCTGAACACTTAACCACTTCCGTTATTCTGGGAAAAGATTTACAGTAGGGCACTTTGGTTGAGGTTGGGGGCTTCGCAGCAGTCTGAGAGACAAGCAGTTAAGCTTTCCAGGTGTTACTGAGTGTTTTCATTGTGTGGAGGCATTACTTTGTTTGCAGTGATTTCTCAGATCAGATACATGTTTTTCTTCATTTATTTAACATTTTTCGAACCCCAGCTATGTGCCAGAGACTGTGCTCTAGCTTTTGGATACTAAGATGGTCCCTGCAGTCAAGATGCTGATAGTCTAGTGGAGGAGACAGATGGGTTAACAGATTGTTACAATACAAAGGGGCAAGTTTATAATATCAAAATACAAATGCAAATAACCAAGTATAAATCACAGGGGTTTGCATACCCTTTTGGATTATCAACCTTTCCTTCTTACATCATTCAAACAATAATGAGTTGACTATATTCTAGTTGACTCTTACATATAGCATGATGAAGTAATGAGGTATCCTGATAAATCCAGGACAGGAACGTCAAATTTAGTGAGACCTGTCAGACAATAAGTGATTCCACACAGACTTTCATTACAGGGGAAATTAAGCAAACTTCTTTTTTTCTTTAGGTAATTTTGAAGGTTTTGGTGCATGAAAATAGCAAACATGATTCAAACTTTTCTTCAGCAAGAAGGAGATTTGCTATGAAGAGCAGTTACTGGGCTAAACTGGTATGAAGTGAGGTGTCTGGAGCTCTGAGGGCTGGGTGTCCTAAAAGACTGTTCCATTATGCTCGGCTGTTTGTTCCCACCCTGAAGAAGTATTTAATCTTTCCCAAATTCTTTGTAACTTATGCTGTCACTTTCTCACATCAGTGTTGAAATCTTCACTTCTCTTTCCAGTCATCTCCCTTCTTTGTCCTGCAGTCTTCATATTTTCTTCTTCCCCCTTTCCTTAACGCTTATTTTGCTTGGCTCCTTTATTTGTCATTTTCCCATGTTTCTAGGTTTTGCAGCAAGTGCCTTGGTTTAGATAGCTACCGCCACCAAATGAGAACCCCTCTTTGCCTTTTGATAAGCAAGCTGGTCACACTCATCAGGGATGATGTTTAGGTTTTTGGGTGTATAGATTTCTTCCTTCCCTCCTTCCTTCCTTCCTTCCTTCCTTCCTTCCTTCCTTCCTTCCTTCCTTCCTCTCTCTCTTTCTTTCTCTTTCTCTCTCTCTTTTTTTTTTTTTTTAAACAGGGTCTCATTCTGTCCCCCAGGCTGGAGTGCAGTGGCGTGCAATCATGGCTTACTGCAGCCTTGACCTCTGAAGCTCAAATGATCCTCCCACCTCAGCCTCCCAAGTAGCTGGACCCACAGGTACATGCCACCATACCCTGCTGACTTTTTGAAATTTTTGTAGAGATGGGGTCTCCTTGTATTGACCAGGGTGATTGCAAACTCCTGGCCTCCAGCAATCCTCCCATCTCAGCCTCCCAAAATGCTGGGATTACAGGCATGAGCCACGTCGCCCAGCCTATGTTTTTAAAACCACTCATTGCCCCAAAGTTTCTTCCTTTGCCCGTAGTGCCAATTAAAAAAATCAAACAAAATCATATATATGGAGGAATTCTGTCATTTACCAAGAAATACACAATTAAGATCATTACTCCCTATTTCAGTGCTATTCCAGTGTCTAAAGTTGTTGTAAGAGAAAATTACAGATAACCAAGGCATTGACTTATTTTGATTAGTAGTTATGAAATGTCTGTTTATTAGAACTGCTACCTAGAAAAATATAGCTAAAAATAGAATTCATCTAACCCTCAAACTAATATAAAACACTGTTATTGCTTAGGCTTTTTTTTTGGATGATTAATAAGGTACTTGTACATCTTACAGTACTTCAGGGTAGTTGGTATTTATCTCAGCTAAGACAAAACTAGAAATGTACAAAAGTGCCTGGTACCCAGAGCTTGGTTGATATCTGGTAAATAAGCAACTATGAGTTTCTGAAACTGGGAAGCAGACACAAAGCTCTTTATACTCCCGGGGCATAGTCTCTGGCTGTGTCATGGTGTTCCCTTTGAATGAATAGGTGCTCTGCTCATGTAGAAAGAGACTGAATTGGAGAAGGTCCCTAAATGCAACTAAAAAGGAGCAGTGGCCTAATGGTACAAATAGTTGGGGTACAAATGGTCTTGTTCTGCAAAAGTAAATTCAAGAGGGGCTCAGCAAATGTCAAATGAAGAGCAGCTGAAAAAAAAACCCACAAAATTATTTACTATTTTAGCCACGAAAACTAGAAAAGTGGCATTTCAAATTGAAATTGTAAAAAGCTCTGCCCACTCCACTTGTGAGCCGCATTCAGTTTGGGCAGGTTGTTCTGAGAGTGGAATGCACTCTTCCCGAGTAAGTATGTATTGCTGCCATTCACCAGACCTCCTTGCTAGTCTGCATGCGGCTATCTCCCCATTATACATCCAAAGAGTAATCAGGGTGAAAAGGACAGTCAGTGTAAGAGGAAATAATTGCAGCTTAAACTACTCTTACTCATTAAGAAGCAAGACTATTTGGGGAGTGAGGCGGATGGGGAGGGTCAGGGAGAATGGTATTGAGTTTTCATCATCCTGTCGGGGCAGGTCAAGTTTTAGCTCTAGCAATTTTGGCATGATTTTCTATAATCGCATTACAGTTAAAAGTATATTAATCACAGTAACTACCACCATCCTATGGTGAGAGTAATACTTGCAGGAAGGGCAGGAAAAGAATCTGAAGTGTGTCCTAGGGTCTGCTTCTGTGTGTTTGGTGGGAACTGCCCTTTGTCTTGGAGAAATGTGGTTGAGAATCGGTTTTCAAAAAATCATGAAAATACAATGCCCTCTTTTAGCCAGAAACAAAGAGAAATATATGATAAAAAAGAAATGGAGAAGATTAAAAGGGCTTGGGGAGTTGAAATTTTAAAAGGCCCAAACCAGCTGACAATACTTCACACCAAAAAAATCCCTGAAAATTCAAATAAGGCATGAGATGTCTCTAAATCAGTGGTTCTCAACCAGAGGAGGTTTTTGCCCTCAAAGGACATTTGGGGTGGCCACACGGGGTGAGGGTGGAGAGCCACTGGCATGGTGAGTGGAGGCCACTGCTGCTGTTGAACACCCTCAGTGCACCGGGCAGGCCCAGACAACAAACAGTCATCTGCCCAGAAGGCCAACAGTGTCACTGCTGGGAAACCTGGCTCTAAATAAATTACAAGGAAGGCTTAAATATTGTAATTTAATTTTTGCAGTGTATTCCTGTTACCCATCTGAGGCTTTATTATTAAGATGTTTGAGGTTGTTATTCATGTCCCAGAAAAATACATGGGTATCACAAATAGGACTGGGGATTTAGGGGACTAACTGATGACAGGAAAGGATGCAGATCTGAAGTGCAATTTTGAAGGAAAAAAGGGGGTAGGATTTTGGGGAAGGAGACTAGGTACTGGAGCATGGAAGGACAATGAGTTTGATTCATGACTTAACGTTGTATCAGAATAACTTCAGCACACTTATACTCCTAAAGGAGACTACAAAGTCAGCTAATCAATAATACTAGGCCATTCTAAAAGCTACCTGTTAACTTTGAACAAAAAGGCAGCATTTATTAATATTGCAAGCATTCCTTAGGCAACTAGCTATCTGTACCCAGGATTGAGAAGGCCTGGTAAAAAGTCAATTAAGGTGACCCAGGGCCCAAAAATTGATAGGTCAAGAGCAGAAGAGGTGGATTATATTTTAGGCAATAGAGTGTAATCTCTAAGGAACCATGGAGAGAGGATTGGCGAAAGATGTTCAGAAGACAGACCTGGCTGAGGCAGCGTTTCTTAAAGTGTGGTTCCTGGATCAGCAGCATAACCTAGGGACTTTCTAGAAATGCAAATTTTAAGGCTCCATCCCAGACCTACCGAATCAGAAACTCTGGAGGTGGGGTCCAGCAATCTGTGTTTTTAAATTTTTATTATTTATTTATTTATTTTTTAGAGACAGGGTCTCACTGACACCCAGGCTGCAGTGCAGTGGCATTATCGTAGCATGATCATAGCTCTCTGCAGCCTTTAACACTGGGGCTCAACTGATCCTCCCACCTCAGCCTCCTGAGTGGCTAGGACCATAGGTATGCACCAGCATGCCCAACTAATTTTTATTGTTATTTTTAGAGAGAAGATCTCGCTCTGCTGCCCAGTCTGGAGTGCAGTGGTGCAATCACTGCACTCCAGTGATTTTTTTAGAGATGGGGTCTCCCTATGTTGACCAGGCTGGTCTTGAACTCCTGGTGTCAAGTGATCCTCCTGCCTCAGCCTCCAAAAGTATTGAGATTATAGGTGGAGCCACCACACCCAGCCCAGTCTGTGTTTTAATGAGCTCTCCAGGAACCACATGGAATAGTTTGTGTAAGTGAAAATCATCACATATAAGCAATTTCTTATAGTTCAAGAAATTTCTGTTCATTAAGGCACCATAACAACAGTAAACAGACAAGCTAAAAACTGGGAGAAGATAATTGTAACACATAACTGATCAAGGATTAGTATTCAGAATATATAAGACATTCTTACAAATCAATAAGGGAAAGACAATTAACCCAGTAGAAAAATGGGCCAAAAATACAAATAGGCATTTCACAAGAGAGAAAACATGAAAGCCTATAATCATTGAAAAGTAGCTGATTAGTAAATAGGGAAATACAGATTAAAACCATAATGAGCCAGGCACAGGGACTCACACCTGTAATCCTGGCACTTTGGGAGGCTGAGGTGAGCAGATCACTTGAGCCCAGGAGTTCGAGACCAGCCTGGGCAACATGGTGAAACTTCGTCTCTACAAAAAATACAAAAATTAGCCAGATGTGGTGGCACACACCTGTAGTCCCAGCTACTTGGAAGGCTGAGGTGGGAGGATCACCTAAGCCCAGGAGGCTGAGGCTGCAGTGAGCCGGGATTGTGCCACTGCACTCCAGCCTAGGTGACAGAGCGAGACCCTGTCTGAAGAAAAAGAAAGAAAAAAAAAACCATAATGAGATGCCATTACTTAACGAACAGACTAGCAAAATTTTTAAAAGTCAGATAGCACCAAGTTTTGACAAACATATGGTGGAATGGGAACTTTCATCCAGTGCTTATATTAGTATAAATTGATACAACACTTCAGAGGATAATTAGGTAACATCAAGTAAAGGCAACCCACTAATTCCACTCCTCAGTATATGCCCTACAGAAATTTTTGCACACATGTGCTAGGAGCCAAGTACGAGGATGTCCATAGTAGCTTTGTCTGTAATGGCAAAAAATCCTGAAGTGACCCAAGTGTCCATCAACAATACACTGGAAAAATAAACTAATATCATACAGTAGAATATTATATTGCAGTAAAAATGAATTATACACCATATGAATTTTTTAAAAATCTAAAGGTGAGCAACATAAGCAATTCACAGAAGAATATATAATAAGATTCCATATACATAAGTCCAAAACATGCAAAACAAAAATGTATTATTTAGGGATACATATGTATATTGTAAAATTATTAAAAACAAAAACAAACAAAAAACAAGTGGGGGTCAGGTGCAGTGGCTCACGCCTGTAATTCTAGCACTGTGGGAGGCTGAAGTGGGTGGATTGCCTGAGCTCTGGAGTTCAAGACCAGCCTGGCCAACATGGTGAAACCCTGCCTCTACTAAAATACAAAAAAATTAGCCAGGCGTTGTGGCAGGCACCTGTAGTCCCAGCTACTTGGGAGGCTGAGGCATAAGAATTGCTTCAACCTGGGAGGCAGAGGTTGTAGTGAGCCAAGACTGCACCACTGTACTCCAGCCTGGGCATCAGAGTGAGACTCTGTCTCAAAAAAAAAAGAAAAAAGAAAAAAGAAAAGCAAGTAAATGATGGCAAAAATTTGAGAGAGTGGTTACTTAAGCAGTGGAGGTAAGGGCACACTATTGGGAAAGGATGCACAAAGTGTTAAAAACATTGGTAATATTCTACGAATTATATATGCTGTCTTGTATGTGTATTTCAAAAAAAGTAAAGAAAAATAAGGGTGAACTGGAGGTGAGGCAATAGAACACTATAGACAACTCAAGGTACTTTGCTATGAAAAAGAGCAGAGAAACAAGATAGCTAGAGGGCACTGTGGAGTCAAGAGGGGTCTTGTCTTTCCTTTTCTGAAGACGAGTGATACTGCCACATGATTTTATGGTGATAGGAGTCGATCAGCAGAGAGAGGAATGTGGTAATGAAGGAAACGGAATAATTTTAGGAGCAAAATACTTAAGCTGGCGAGGAGAGCTGGGGTCTGAAGCATAAGAAGAATGCCTAGCCTTAGTGAGGAGCAAGGGTGGTCCATTCATTCACTGTTACCAAAGGAAAAGGAGGAGACACGACACAGACACAGGTGGACAGGTGGCTCTAGTGATGGGAAATGAAGTAGTTCTGGTGTAGTTGCTTCTGTTTCCTCAATGCAAGATCAGCCAGGTCATCAGCTGAGAATAATAGGAGAGGAGATATTGGAGGGGTTTGAAGAACAAATTTACCAGGGAAATGTAGCAGGATTTCTCAAATGCTGATTTGAGATCTGTGGTCATTATTCAAACCAAAGCCACTCAGCATGGTTGATTGCCACAGTCAGCTGCTCAGGGACAGGCTCAGAGTTTAATTAGAGCTGGACTGTTGAAGTGAGAGAGGAAGGGGCATAGAGGCTGAGTGTCGAGGATGAAATACCTAGTCATGGGCATGGAACCTAAATAGGGAAGAAGATAAATGAGAACCTGAGGCAGGCAGGGAGGAGGGAGTGATGAGCAATGAAAAACGTAAACGGTGTTGGAGTGGAGGTCCAAAATGAAACACTGTTGGAGTGGAGCTATCACAGTACCTGAGCTGTAGAAAAAGAAGTTGGGGATCAGAGAATGGGATGCTTGACCTGGAGATTTCAGAGGTGGTGTGGTTATTGGTGATGACAAGGTCTGGGGTATGACTGCGGGGGTAGGTAGCTAAGAGGGTGTGCAGGGAAAGAACTATGGAGATAACGGGGAGGAATAACAAACTACAGATAGATGATCTATCTATGTGGATGTTGAAGACTTTGAGAATAATGACAAAGAGGAAGATAGTGAGCCAAGTTCTAAAATCTTCAGCAAATAAGAGGGAGTGTCTTAAACATTAGCGGATAATAGCAACTTGTGCTTTAAAGGGTCTACAGTTCTTGAGACAGGAGAAATGTGTGAAGGTGGCAAGGTGGAGCCACAGTAGGAAGGATGAAAGAAACCTCTTCAGCTGCTGAGAGGGCAGCAAGGGAAGCAGGGTCCTCAGGGGAGAGCCGGATGGGGATATCATCTGCTGGTGATAGAGGTAAACACGGGGTGGATGGAATGAGTCAACATAGTCCCTTATGGGAAGATAGGAAATCAATCCATTTAGTCAGGAGACTTTAGCTAGAAGCTAAGGCCCTCAGGGAACTGTTGGATCCTAAAGCTCCCAGCGATGGGTGGTCTGAATTGGAGGCTCTCTTTCCAAGAACACAAGCTGATACAAAGGTCTCTCGGGTTTTGCCTCCCTGCAGCTAAAATGTCCATTTCAGAACATTTTATCAAATCCCTAGATGAGTATGGCTATATCTTTAGATTCAATATATGACCAGACTGCTGTACAAAGATTTAAGGTTTATAAGTGCAGAAGGTTTGGGGGTAGGCAAATTGGTTACTTCTCCTCCTGTATGGATTCTTAACAAATTAAGAACATAGCTGGGCGTGGTAGCTCACACCTGTAATCCCAGCACTTTGGGAGGCCGAGGCGGGCAGATCACGAGGTCAGGAGATCAAGACCATCCTGGCCAACGTGGAGAAATCCCATCTTTACTAAAAATACAAAAATTAGCCGGGCATGGCGGCTCGCGCCTGTACTCCCAGCTACTTGGAGGCTGAGGCAGGAGAATCCCTTGAACCCAGGAGGCGGAGGCTCAGTGAGCCGAGACTGTGCCACTGCATTCCAGCTTGGGTGACAGAGCCAGACTCTGTCTCAAAAAAAAAAAAAAAAAGATTCCAGGAGCCAAAAGGAGATCAAAATACAAGTTCAGTTTTATTACTAATAAAGTTGGACTGGAGAACGTGGTGGCTTCTCCTTCCTGAACTTAGATCTTGGTGTCTGTCTGTTCACCCTATTTGCAGGAGGAGAAGTTAAGGACACCAGGCTGGGCTTAGGCTGCTTATCGCATTCTGGGGGCCAAAGGGCTCGGGGGGGTCCTGGACTTTTTCATCAAGCTGTGAATAGATAGTGCAGTGGGAAAATGTTGATAAAGAAAAAGCAGAATTTAGTTATGTTTCAGGTAAAGAACAGAAAGCCCCAAATTATAACAGTATGTATTTTTTAGAAAATCAATGACTTGATGAAACTGTCTGAAATTTTGCTCAGAACCACTACTTTCCATCTGCCTATTCAGGTCGAACAATTTTTTCCCTCACATTTCATTTTTTCCTTATCTATGCTTAAGTTATAAATGTAAATCTCTTAACCTCTTTCCAAAGATCAAACCTACATTTCCATCTGCCTGAGAAACAGCTCAATCTGGATGTATCTCTGAAGTTTCAATGCAAACGATTTAAAATCTATCTTCTCCTAAATTCACATGGCTTGCCTATTTCTTTCATTATCTCCGTGTTTTTCCTAGTCCGCTTTAACTCTGAGTCAGTTTGACGGGTGAGTGATTTGGCCACCTTTAAAGGACAAAATAGAACCACTTCTTCTGCAGCAGGTATTATGGGTGTCTTCTCTCCATCCCTGCTGCCAGTGTTCTTACCCAGGTGCTCATATTGCAGCAGTCTACTGATTTGATGTATGGACCCCAAATCGAATTGCAGCTCTGATCCTTGACTAATTCATTCACTCATTCAACAAACACTTACAGGGAATATAAATGTAAGACAATATTAGGTACTGAAGAAGACGGAAAGATGAGTACAACCCCCTTTTCACCTTTGGTATGCTTATAGGGCATATAAGAAATGTACCCAAATCACAGTAATACAATGAAGACAGGAGCATTGAGGGACAAATGCCTTAAAAATCTGATCAACCATCCAGGAAGTTCAGAAGTGGTCCAGCTATCATTGCCTGGTTCAAGGGCAATGATTTCCTAAATTAAAATCAAACTCCTTAATCTGAAACAAGGCCTCTACAATATGGCCTCAATATAAGGTTCTTGGTTGATCTTAAACCTTTCCCCTATAGTATACTCTGGCCTGAGGTCTCAGCCCATGGCTGCACGTTAAAACCTCTCTGAGGCCGGGCACGGTGGCTCACACCTGTAATCCCAGCACTTTGGGAGGCAGAGGCGGGAGGATCACCTGAGGTCAGGGGTTCAAGACCAACATGGCCAACATGGTGAAACCCCGTCTCTACCAAAAATACAAAAATTAGCCGGGCATGATGGCGGGTGCCTGTAATCCCAGCTACTCAGGAGGCTGAGGCAGGAGAATTGCTTGAACCCGGGAGGCAGAGGTTGCAGTGAGCCGAGATCGCACCACTGCACTCCAGCCTGGGCAACAAAGCAAGACTCAGTCTCAAAAACAAAAAACAAACAAACAAAAAAACCTCTTTGAGAACTTCTTCTTTTTTTAAAATTGACAATGTTTAAGTCCCATACTAGACCAACTATATCAGAATTCCTGGGGGGTAGCAATGAATAGCAGTATCTTTTATAGGGCCCTTCCAGTATCTACTCTACAGCCAGAGCTGAGAATCACTGTGACCCACACTGAACCACCTGCCAGTTTCTTGCATTCTGAAGGCTATTTTCCATCCACTAGTTTCTGCTCATTTTCTGTCTGCTTTTTTTTTGAAATCTCCTTTAAAACCCTTTCAGAAATTTAGGACACAGTTCCAATGTCACCTCTTCTTAAAACTTTCTCTCCACTGAGGAGGCAATCTCATGTGAATACCAATATCAATTTGTGCCTGCCTCTCTTATTGTATTTGTCTTTACTTTTATCTTTACATTCTAGCTTAATTTATGTATTTGTTTTATTTCCTCTTAAATTATAAACACCTTAGGGTTGTATTAATATTCATAGCACCTTATATACAGAAAGTGCTAGTAAATGTCATGTGACTAAATTAATGAAATAAAAGCTGAGCCAATAATAGGACACTGATTACCGAACATGTCTATTACACATCTATTCTATACCCAGCACTGAGCTTAGCTCCTGTGGGTGACACCAAGAGGAGACAATAGGATTCCACATAGAGGAGACAATAGGATTTCTAACATTTGTTAAATTTAACATTTGTTAAATTTCTAACGTTTGTTCCAAGCAATGTTAGATGCTACATCTTTGCTATTTCATTTAGTCCTCTTAACAAACCTATAAGGCATCATTAGCCTCATTTTATAGATCATAAAAGTATAGTCTTAGAGAGGCTACATATTTTATCCAAGTTTACTTGGCAACTAAATGTATATTCAAACTTATGTCTAATTTCAGAAACCAAGTGCTTTCCACTCTGCTGCTTTTAATAAACAGATTATCATGAAACAACTATAACCCAACTGTTTAATTGAGATTAACTACTTACAGACTGAAGAATTCAGAAAAAGCAGAGTTCAGAGGCTTTGCTGCAGTAATGACTTAGCAACCTTCCCTGGCCACCCAACTTAAACTGTACCTCCCCCATCACTCCTTATCTCCTTTATTTTTTTTTCTCCTTAGACTTATTACCATCTCACTTACCATAAATTTTATTTATCTTATTTATCTTCCCCCACAAGAATGTAAGTGTTAAAAGGCAAGACTATTTGTGGTTTGCTCACTGCTGTACTCCCAGCACCTAAGAACAATGTTACCACATAGAAGGTGACCATTTGTTATATAAATGAATGGAAAGATTCACGAACAAGATGGTACCTTGAGAAATAAATAGAGTTTAGGAGACTGAAGAGGGTGAACAATAAAATGTTATAGGCAATTAAAACCCCATGAGAATAGGCATTGGGGCATAACTGACATGGGAGCCTCAGGGCAAAAGGACAATCTAACAGCCATGCCACATCTGCAGGAAGGAGAAGAAAGGCTCACTGAATGCAAAGCTTCTGAAAATGGACTTGAGTGGAGAATAATGAACCTTTTAAAAGTTATTACTCTCTGATGTCCACATTGAAATGTCCATAGTTAAGATACTAAACAAGATTTCACAGAAGGGGAAGCTCAAAGATGAACAGACTGATTTATTTGTTTTGGTTTTGCTTGAAGATGGTAGTGGAATGTTTGCGAATCAATGATGTAGAAGCTATGGACAAAGGAGTGGGTAATCCACACAGCTACTATCCAATTTTTGAAGGATAAGAACATCTCTTCTCAGGTGGAGAAATTAGCAGGTATATGAATGAAATGCATGATCCTAGATTGGATTCTGGACCTGGAAACCCTCCCACTTCCAAAAACACTATAAAGGACCTTAGTGGGATAATTGGTGAGACTTGAGTGTGGATCATGGATTAGATAATGGTATTATACCAATGTTAAATTTCCTGATTTTATAATTATACCATGGCTGTTTAAGAAAATATTCTTATTCTTGGTAAAAATAAACTGAAATATTTAAAGAGGCATGATAATCTGCAATTTACTCTCAAATTGTCCAGAAAAAACTTATATGTAATTATTTATATGTGTATCTAATCTATATTTATTCATTTAGAGAATGATAAAGCAAATGACATATAGGAATCTTTTGAACTATTCTTGAAACCTTCCTGTAAATTTAAAATTACAGCAAAATAAAAAGTTAGGCCAGGAACAATAGCACACATCTCTAATCCCAGCACTTTGGGAGGCTGAGGTAGGAAAGTCGCTTGAGCCCAGGAGTTCAAGACCAGCCTGGGCAATATGGCAAAATCCCATCTCTACAAAAAAATTAAAATTTAACCTGGCATGGTGATGCATATGCTACTCAGGATGCTGAGGTGAGAGGATTACCTGAGCAGTGAGATATGATGGCACCACTGCACTCCATCTTGGGTGACAAAGTGAGACCCCCATATCTAAAAAAATTAAATAAAATGTTATTTCCACTGACAAAAACAGAAAACAAAAAAGAACACTTTCTTGTGAAACTTCAATGGATTCAGTTTTGAATGTGCACGTACAATTGCCCAAATGCAGGATGAGGAAAATATAGCTTAATAGTTTGATGTGACTAAGACACAATTTCCATTGACAGTAAACACAGTACAAGTTCCTGTGATACAACTGCCAAAGAAGCCAGATCTTCAGCTTCATTAGCAGACAATGGCAGTAAGAAAGCAGTTGGCCCCACTCTCCTCTTATAGTCGTTCAATATCAGAAGCACTGATTGTCATTCTAGGCATCATACTTTTAAGACGGACAATGAAAACTGGAACAGGACAACAGGAGAGAGAACAAGGGTAGGAAAGGGACTGGCAACATTTTCATATAAAGAACAGAGCTGAGGCTGGAGATGAGAAGGCTCATGCAGATCCAAGAGTAAAACATGGGAACTGTCTTCAAACACTTGAGGTACTATAGTGTGGACAACAGTATCTGTTAGTCTCTGATTAAGTTGGGAAAAAACCTTTCCCAATAATTACAGCTGTCCCAAATCATGAGGGTTGCATACAGTGATAGATATAGACTCATATGGGCAAGCTATTTTTTAGGTGAAGGCATAATCTAATCTTCCATGAAAAGTCTGATGTGATATAAAGGAGATTCACAGGGCCCAGCAAGGACTCATGTAGTCACTAGAGATAGTAGTTGACACTTCTTGACCTTGTCTATTTTACCACCACCTGTCTGAAACCCAAAGAAATTTAGTTGGGTTGTGTCTACTAAGACTACTTAATACCTCTGCCACTTCAAAATATCCTAAACCTAACTCTAATGCCACTGTTGGGCAAGTGATCCATTTTCTCCTGGGGAAGTGCTTGATAGTTTAAGATTGTTCTTTCATGGAAAGAGAAACAAAACACAAGTAATTAATGAAACTAGCAAAATCACACTGTAACGGAGATTCTATCACACTGAAAGTGCAGCTGCCATCCTTAGTCTTATAGCAATACCAAGGCTTAAAGTCTGCTCACCTGAGGTCAGGAGTTCAAGACCAGCCTGGCCAACATGGTGAAACCCTTTCTCTACTAAAAACACAGAAATTAGCTGGGCATAATGACGAGTGCCTGTAATCCCAGCTGCTAAGGAGGCTGAGATGGGAGAATCGCTTGAACCCAGGAAACAGTGGTAGCACTGAGCTGAGATCATGCCACTGCACTCCAGCCTGGGCAGCTGAGCGAGACTCCGTCTCAAAAAAAAAAAAAAAAAAAAAAAGGCTGCTCACAACCATTGTTGTTATTACCTAAATAAAGAAAAATAAAATAGAGCAAAATAAAATGTGTTATTCTTCTGTACTAACTCATTCTGAACCTAATGCCACTCTGTAAATTAGGCAAGCCATCTACCTTTCATTATGAACCATCTCACAGCAGGAATAAGAGAAATCGATTTGTTCTACTCTCATTATTGAATGGTATAAAGATGATACAACAAGCAACACACACAAATAAAAATAATGGTTTAATAAAGCAACTTTACCACTATAGATTGGAAGGGTAAAAAAGCTAAGTTTTCTTATATACCACAAGTAAAAGGATCATCCCTGTTCAATACATATATTTAAAAAAAAACTATTCCCAAAAACATAACATTGATGCCATATATTGCTAGTACCTTTCAAAATACACTGGCCTGGCCAGGTGTGGTGGCCAGGTGTGGGAGGCCAAGATGGGAGGATCACTTGAACCCAGGAGTTCAAGACCAGCCTGGGCAACATAGTGAGACCCTGTCTCTACAAAATACACAAAACATTTGCCAGGCATGGTAGTGTGTGCCCATAGTCCCAGCTACTCAGGAAGCTGAGGTGAGAGGATCACCTGAGCTGAGGCTGCAGTGAGCCATGATTGTGCCACTGTACTCCAGCCTAGGCATCAGCGTGAGACCCTGTCTCAAAACAAACAAACAAAAAAATATATTGGCCAGATCTTCAAGGAAAAAATCTAAACTTTCTTGTCAACCATAGTTTGACCCTTAATGTTTCTGTAGACTTTGGAGGAAGGATTAAGAGGCATATTTTTTAAAACTTAGTGGCTCTTTGAAACCACTAAAAATTAAAATGTGAGCAAAATATTATTTCCATTTCTTATGTTGCAATATGCATTGCCTATCTTCTATACAGCAGCAGTTCTCAAAGTGTAGTCCAGACCCTGGAGCATCCCCTTGACACTTCCAGGAGATCTATAAGGTCCAAGCTATTTTAACGATAATAATAGTAATGATACATATTTGCCCTTTTCACTCTCATTCTCACATGAGGCCACATAACATACGTTATGGCAAAAGACTAAATGCAGAAGCAGATAAGACAGTCCAGCTGTCTTCCACTAAGACAGACATTAAAGAGGTTTGTAAAAATAATGACACTCTTCTATAAGAATGTTTTACCCATTATTGTTGTTTTGGAAAATATAATTACTTTTCATAAAAATATGTTATTTATGTTAAGACATAATGAGTTTAATGTTATTTTGAATGAGTTTGTAAATATTTTTAAAATTTCTCAGTTTTAATTTCTAATACAATAAATATTGATAGATATAACTCATATAAACAAAAGTTCTTTGGGTCTTCAATAATTTTTAAAAGTGCAAAGAGGTGTCCAGGGACCAAAAATCTTGAGAATTACTGTTCTATAATAATATGATGAGAGACAGCAATGTGTGCTATTCTTCAGATTTTTGCTAAGAAAATAGAAATAAATAGTTTATGCTGAAATAACTCTATAGATGAGTATTTTAGGTAAAATATCATCTTAGTGTTATTGTCATATTTCCCCAAGTAAGTGATACAGTAAAGATCTAATACTACCATGAATAGACAGTATAAATTAAGGGAAAAAAGTAACTTTGCCACCTACAGAAATAAATACTATAAAGTACCATAAAGAGAATGGAACTTTATTATTTCGTTCTTATTTTACTTATTTAATTTCCATCTAATTTTTCTTTTTTTTTTTTTTGTAGAGATGGGGTTTCCCTATGTTGCCCAGGCTGGTCTAGAACTCCTGAGCTCAGAGGATCCTCCCACCTCAGCCTCCCAAAGGGCTGGGATTATAGGCATGACCCACTGAACTCCGCCCTCCGCCACTTTTTCTTTCTTGAAACTGGGTCTTGTTCTGTTGCCCAAGCTGGAGTGCAGTGTTATAATCACAGCTCACTGCAGCCTCAACCTCCTGGGCTCAAGCTGTCCTTCCACTTCAGCCTCCCAAGTAGCTGGGCCTACAGGCATGTAGCCACCAAACCTGGCTAATTTTTTTATTTTTTATTTTGTAGAGATAAGGTCTCACTATGTTGCCTAAGCTGATCTTGAACTCCTGGGCTCAAGAAATCCTCCTGCCTTGGCCTTGAAACTGTTGGGGTTACAGGTGTGAGCCACTGTGCCTAGCCTCACCTACTTTTTCTAAATGATTTAAGATAATCATTTTACCAAAAAAAAAAAAAAAAAAAAAAACTACACACACACACAAAAGTGGTTTTATAATAAAAACCACAGGATCACTAGGACCAACAGCTAACAACATGGGATGAAAGACCAAAATTTAGCAGTAAGGGGGAATTGGAGGAGGGAATGGAGTGAGGGCAAACTATAGTATTGAAACCCTATTTGAGGAAAGCCACAGAAATTAAGCATGAGTACTTAGCTCCATGTTTGCTAGCAGTCCAAGTAAAGAGTAGAGCAGCATGAATGAAATGGCTCCCACTGGAAGGAAACAGACTAGCTTTTAGAAGGCATAATCTTTCTTGGGGACCTGAACTCTGAAGACAATTAGAGTTATCTGTTACAAGACTCTCTTCATTAAGAGTGGTGAGGAGAATAAATGCAATAGTAATCTTGTGGAAAGCATTTCACAAGTTATCCTATCTTATAATTGAGGAAATGGAGTCGGCCAGAGGGTAGATAGATTGTCTACGGTTATACAGCTGTAAGTATAAAAGCCAAGATGTGAACTGGAGTCTGTCTGACTCCAAAGTATGCATCTCAACCGCTTTGCTAATTCTGTCAAGGTCTTCACGCGACGTCACGCTTTTGTAAAAAAATTCTTCAGAGGGTCAGCATGCAACTGTGCAGAGTCAGCTCTACTCTCCAGCCAATTAGCCCACTGTGTAGGGCGGTGGTGAGCCACTCTAGCACACCCGGTGCCCCCTTTTCATACAACTATCTTGTATTTTCCTTTGCTCTCCTGAAATAAAATTCATAAGTAATATCAACTACCTACAAAGATATTTTTAGTGCTCTAAATGGACATTGAAACAGGAAAGTAATTGATAATAAATAATGTGTATCTTAATATGTAAATTCTCAGCCGCACTAGAAGACATGGAAGCTGTCAAATGCTCACTCCTACGTGTAGAATCACCCTGAATACAGTGATGACAACTACAGAATGACGTCGGTGCTTTACACAGGAGGCTCAATGACCACAAGTGGCTTTGCTGTCAATTGACATGATTTTCTGGAATAGAAAAGTTCTGAACAAAACAAAATACAGCCTTCCTTTGATTTAAAAGTATCTACATTTCTGGAAAATTCAGGAGAGTAAATCTGTGTGAAAAATAATTTGAGGAGAGAGATACCATTATTTTATATAAAAACAGAGTATGGAGGAAAATGAGACATTTATATGAATTTTGAAATGAACACCTAAGATGTTAGATAAACGTTAAGTATGCCATACTATTTTGGACTCCAGCTCTAAAGGGGTACAATCTCATTTTCCTTCTTTGGTTAGCAGAAATGTTTGAGAATCCATCATTGTCAGTTATTCGGTTACCAAAATAAGCTTTTTTTGGTCCTAAAAATCTACAAAGTAGTAAGCATGTACCTGGCAAAGATGTATTTTGAACAACAGAATGCCTTGCTTTTGCTGTATTAGTGAAGTGATAAGCTGCTTTCAGACGTGGCCCCAGGAACACTTGTAGTCAGGGACATGAATTGTTCCGAAAAAAGTTCTATGTCCATCTATTCATGAACTTGAAGACTTAGTTTAATTCCAAACTTACATACCATAAAGCATGGAAGGCATGACCTTGGCCAGAAATATCTTGATGGCACATGTAACCAAATTTCTGATCTGCCAATCCTTTCATAGGGAGGGTGGAAGAGTCATTCTGAACTTCAGGTTCACAATATTCATGGGGATCCTCAATGCTAAGACTTTTAAAGCCCTCTCCAAATGAGTCAGGTTAGACATTGATATGTTATATGTAACCACTGAAAATCAATTAACTTGTGCAACACTCTTCTGGCATTTCTTTAGTTCTTTAATGTACCAGGAACCTCAAATTGAAGAAGTTATCTGAATCTTCTAAAATTCAACTCTGAGAGGTCCTGACCTCTCCACGGGATGGCCTTCATATGGCTCTCATACAAACTGGATTTCAGGTGGGGCTGCACTCTGACCAGCACATTAGAACAAATTAGCAACTGCCTGTATCCTCAGATATCTGAAGGATATCTGAAACAACCTGTTAAACACATTAATGTGACCCAGTCTGGATTCAGAATGTCCCTGTCAAAAATCAATCATTTTAGTTTTGTGGTTCTTTCTGATAGTAGGTGCTTCTTGAGAGCACTTGTGGCCCTGGTGTATAAGGAGATGCTTATCTTCCTGCTTGCAGTGTCAGAAAAATATTTATCCAGTGTATTTGAGAGGGATCACATTGTTCGAATATAAGTTTAAGTGTGCTACCTCATTTAAAATAGGAACTTTTTTTCTGTCAGAAGGTCATCTCTGCCCACTTTGACTCTTGCCATAAGGTTTTTTTCTTAATTTGGGAATAATAATGAGGGATTTGTTAGTGACCAATAAAAAAAAGGTGGGGTGGGGGGGACCTTTTCCAGAGGCCTTTAGCATCATAATTAGAGGGCACAATGGGTTTCAGCGTGCTCAGTGAAACAGAGCGACTGTCATAGTGGAATGGAGAAGGGAGAAATAACTCACCTAGAATGTCAACAGCTATTTGTATTTCTATAATGTGTTTCATTACAGTCATGTAGCCATGGCCCAGAATTTACATTTATTATCCACACTCTTATAATTAAATTCTTTTTGAGAAAAGCTGTAATGTACCTGAGTTTACATTCCTTATCCACTCTTATTGAGAAGCCAGGGCCTTCTAAACATACTTTCAGAAGCAGCATTATTTTTGTTCATTTTTTTAAAAAAAAAAGAAAAAAATTCCTTTTGAGAAAAGTTTCTCACAGGATTTAAATGTACTGTCTTATGAATGAAGAAATGATTTGGTAAAACACACATTCACCTCTTCCATCACAGCCTTACATAAAGACAATTAAAATATTTCCAATAAATAACATTCCCTTACTTTCTTCAAGCCAAAACTACTTGTAGATAACTTGAAATCATTTTGGGAATTATGCTTCTCTGATGCTTCAGAAAGAGCTCTTTTCACAAAACATAATCTTTACTTTTCTCATAGTGCTATAATCTCTTTTCACTCATTAATAGATTATTTTCTCCATAATATCACTTAAAAGAAACTAATGTTTTGCCTACCCTCCCCACTGCCCCACTTAAATCAACAAAACTGGAACGGAAAGCCTTCTGACCTATTTTTAATTTCATGTCTCTTTTAGTTAGCACAAAATATTGTACCAGAAGAGGCTGATGTTTGCTACATGGTAAATGAGGTCCTACTGGCTTCTCCAGATTCCAAGGCCATTAAATTGAATGCAAAAAGATAAAGGTTATTGCAGACTTTATCATGAAAACCATAATGTCATCAAGTTGAACAAGCTCGGTAAGCATGGCCTCATTCCCCGCCTCCCCTGTCTCCTTTTCTAATTGGATAGCTCTGCTCTTACATCCTATCGCGTGCAAAACTGGAGAAGACTCTCTGCTCCTTGCTTTAAATGCTTTTCTAGAGTGGCCTTGCCTGGATAATCATATTCTCATTTGCGTATAGATAATGCAAGGCCTATTTAGGAGATAAGTTCAGATGGTTGAAAAGCACCTGTAATGAGTCACTTTCACTTAATTAAAAAGACAACACATTATTGTTTATATAATCAGCCTAGAAGTGGGTAAAATGGGGAGGGGGAAGGGAGATTAGTTCATGGTCCAATGACATTTTGCCTCCAGCAAGAAACTGCCTCATGTCAACTAGCCAAATAAAGCATCCAGGCTTTGAAAAGAATGAGGAAACTGATAGGCATAATGTATCATTATTATTACTAGAAGAATACCAGCATTTAAAGCATTTAAATGTTTGAAAACCATCTAAAACAATGCATTTGGGAGCTTATCATTTATCAAATACAATTGTATTAATACATAATAAAAATGTGTTTATTATTGCCATGAAGAGCCAAAATTAAGTACTAAGTCTCTAAAAGCCAGCATTTCAAAGTCTACATGAAAGTGATCTCTGACACCTAAAAATTCCTATTTTCCACTCTTAAAACTGGATATATTTTAAATTCAGCAATTGTACTCTTCAGAATGCATTCTAAGAATATCACTGAACACGTGAGTCAAGATATATAAATAAGAAAGTTCATCACAGCATCATTTATAATGGCAAAAAAATGGAAAATAACCTAAATATCCAAATGCAAGGGGTTAGTTAGACAAATTATGGTACATGTACATAACAGGATACTCTGCAACCATTAAGAATGGTTCCTAGAAATATTTATTGACACTGAGAAATATTCCTAAGACATGAAAAAAGTTGTTTTAAAATGGCGTGTAGGCCGGGCGCAGTGGCTCACGCCTGTAATCCCAGCACTTTGGGAGGCCGAAGCAGGTGGATCACTCGAGGCCGGGAGTTTGAGACCAATCTGGCCAACATGGCGAAACCCTGTCTCTACCAAAAAATACAAAAAATTCGCCAGGCATGGTGACACACGTCTGTAGTCCCAGCTACTCGGGAGGCCAAGACACAAGAACTGCTTGAACCCAGGAGGTGGAGGTTGCAGTGAGCCAAGATCATGCCATTGTACTCCAGCCTGGGTGACACAGTGAGACTCTGTTTCACAAAAAAACAAAAACGAAAAATGGTTTGTAGCATATGACCCCATGAATATGTGTAAAAAGGTCTAAAGGGCATACAACTAATTGTTAACAGTTAATCTTTGGCTTCTAGGATTAAGAGTAGTTTTTTTCTTCTTCATGATTACCTATATTTTCTAATTTTTCTCTACCATGAATATGTATTATTTGAGTAATGTAAAAAACTTAAAGAAAACAATAGAATTCAATTTTGCCTTCATGTAAAGGTTCATGAATTATATAATTCTAAACCTAAATTCTATGTAAATTACATAGAATTACATTCCCCCACAACTGGATTTGGAAATGTTATCTGATGTTTGAGATTTACCTTGGAAATTTACAGGAATCCTATTTGAAATGTTTAGGCTAAGATCATAAAATGTTCAATGGACATTTCATTGGTAAGTGACAGGGCACTAGCTTTCTCTGGTAATTTACAGCATCCAAAAACAGGTATTTATAAGTTCATTGTAACTCATGGCTGAATTATTTGTCCAGAGTCAATTAAAATACACGGCAAACTAAGAAAATTTTAATTCAAAGAAAGACTCTAACAATTTTCATAAATGGGTTTGATTATACTGGAACTGAAAAATACTCCTAGTCTTTAGGCTAAAATGTGACAGTTTTGGTTTCATTCTTTCACTCAACAAATATTAATTGATGTCTACTATGTGTCAGTTTTGTTCTAGGCACTCGATGAGATCTTTTCAATTCTTGTTTTAGATCAGTCATTAAAATGAATAAAAATAACTCCAAATTATTGCTATTATATCTACAATCCCAAAAGATTAATTTACTTAAAAGGGGGATAAAATTTTTCATTAATCTTGGTTGGTCACCTGTCACTAATGTAGACTCCTCCTCCTGGGAACCTAACCTAAGCCACTCCTTCTCTGCATACCTTCTGCATAACTCCATTCCTTTATAATCCTTGGATGACTGGAGTATAAGAGAAATGGGCTCTAAAGAGGTGAAGTCTAGTCCTAGCTCTGCTACAAATGCTCTGGGTGACCAAGGACAAGTTACTTCACTCCTAAGGGCCCATGTTTCTCTATCAATGAGATAAAACTATATCTAATGTTCCTTCCAATTCTAAAAGTCTGCGATTCTCTTTTGGTTGATTTTTACAGCAAATGGCACTTCAGCTTACTTCTCCTCTGTGTTGTGACTTTCTTATTACTTATCTGGTTGAAATGACAATGAATAGTACTTAGCCAACAACACTTGTCCCACACCTGCCTTGTGAAGAGGAGCTCTCTGGGCCAGTTGAAGAGGATATTAAAAGCAGAGGAGATGTCCCTTGCTTTAAAGGAGCTCACGAGCTAGTGAAGTGAGAAATAATAAAAAAAGACTCTTATGAAGCCAGGATCAACAAGCACAAGACTGTACGTTAGAAACTAGCCAATGTGTCCTGGGAGGAATCAGAATATGCCAAGTGACCAGATTTGACCAGGATGTGCACAGAATAAGCTTAAAGGGAGGGTTGATAGAGGTAATAGAAAAGGTTTGGCAGAAATGGACTGAGGTATTTTGACTATTTTCCATGTGAATAAGAAGGGAAGCAGGCAACCAGCCAGATGGCAAAGGAGGAGAAGCATATGGCCTGGATAATCCACACTTTAGATGCTCGGTCTCTGAATAACTGAGGGCAGGCTGCATTTCACTAGGGAGTCAGTGGATGTCAATTGTCCAGCACTGCTTTGCAGGGCTCCTCATTGTCTAGTCTTTATTTCGGAGATACGGATTAACTCCTTTCCATCATCACTCCCACTCCCACACTCCTCCCACTAGACCCCGCCTTTTCTCTTAAAGGATATGTTGATTGTTTCACGTTAAACCAGTGTCCAAGAGTGTGTGTCTGTACGCACGTGTGTGCATGCGCTTGTTACTTTGGAGAGGGGGAGGCAGTGGTGGTGAGATGCACTACCACCCAACCTTAATATTCAGGTAGTAAATTCAGACCAGTGAATTCAAAGCCTAGTCAACCATAGAGGCATAATCAAGCTTTACCTGTGGAGACCCCAGAGGGGTTGTCATCCCTGGTTACTTCTCACACCCCCAAAGAGAGTCAGCACCTGTGTTCCCTTGCGGACGCTGAGCAGTTCAGCAAGCCTAGGAAACATGCTAGGGGTGCCCCACCAGGAACAAGGAACAGGGCTAATGATCATGTTTTTACAGTTCTCATAAACTCTGACTCTGAGAAGCGAGGGGCAAGTCCTCTTTATAAGAACACAAGTAAAAGGGATTGCTAAAATAGTATCAACTACATTGATCACCTGCCATTAAATCCACACTATTAAGTCATAACTAGAAAGTCAGAAGAGATCATTTGTCATGGTGAAAGTAAAACTATTTCTCTCCAGCCTGTGGGTAGAGTTATTTTATTTATAAACATAGCTTTAAAATCTCAGCCACAAAACAAAACTACAGTGAATGATGAGACAGGATTAAAATAATTACTTCACCAGTCAAAAACATCACCATTAATCATATAATGCACATATACTGTATTAAAAAGCTTTCTTCAAATGTCACTTTTTCACATTAGAATAATCCCACTATAGTACAGACTTTTCTATGACAGAAAAACATCTGGTGTGATTTACAATACTACTGTGAGCAAAATTATTTTTTTTCCCAGAAAGCTCATTAAATTCTTCTTTCCTTCTAATGGTTTCATTAACATGCAAAAAGTACAGGAGGATTTTAAACTCATTGTAAGTTGAATACATTTAAATATTTTTTAAATTATACGAAAGTTGGGAAAAGGATTCGTAATCATTCACCTTAACACAACTCCAGGCTCCCTAATACCTTCTACACACTTCACTATCTCACTGTTGCTGACTTTTTCCACATGCATACTTTTAAATTTACCATAACTGCAATCATAGATGCCACTTTCTAAAAACATGCAACTTTACTTATTTATTTAAGACAAAGTTTTACTCTGTCACCCAGGCTAGAGTGCCTTTTTTTGTATCTTTAGTAGAGACAGGGTTTCACCACGTTGGCCAGGCTGGTCTTAAACTCCTGACCTCAGGTGATCCACCCGCCTCGGCCTAGCAAAGTGCTGGGATTACAGGCATATGCCACGGCGTCTGGCTAAAAAACATGCAACTTTAAAACACAGGTATTTCTTCATGTTGCCACAGGTCATTACAAGAACTTTTGATGTCTGCATATTCCAAAAAAAGGATGCGTAAGTCAGTTGACTATTCTACTTTCAGGTAACTAGATTGCTCCCAAGTTTTCACTTTATTACAAATGGTTCTGCAATTAACAGCTTCATAAACACAGCTTTTTTCTTCTTTAGCCTATTTAGTTAGGGTAAGTTCCCAGAAACATCAATTGAATGAACATTTTATAGCTCTGGATGTATTTGCCAAATGCTCTTCAGAAGGA
Organism: Homo sapiens; assembly: GCF_000001405.40. Lineage (NCBI taxonomy): Eukaryota > Metazoa > Chordata > Mammalia > Primates > Hominidae > Homo > Homo sapiens. The sequence goes on along the minus strand of NC_000002.12, from coordinate 44,651,103 downwards.
TTATATCAATTTATATCACCATCAGCAATAGAGTAATTTATCAGTCACACTTCACTTTAAACTGCACTTTTAAACTATTACTGAACATTTTCCCATATGCTTGCTTAACAAACCTGGTGTTTTTAGATTGGCCACATCCTTTGACCAGCTAGCTATTGGGGTCTTAATAGTTGTATGAATTGTTCATGTCTATTGTCTGAATTATTCGTTGTAATGTTTCCAGTCTGTCATTTCCCACTGTTTTTTTTTTTTCTTGTGCAATAAGTTTTACAACTTTATACAGTTAGGACTTATGAATCTTTTATAATCTTTACTGATTCTTATAACCACACAAATATTCAAAAGACCAGTTCCTGCAATTCTATAAAATATTTAACTCTTTAACACATGTGTACATTTTTTTGGCATACAGTATAGTCTGGATTTTTAAACTTTCTTCTAAATTTGTAACCAGTTATTTGAAAATGGTTTATCAAGTAATCTTTCATATTGCCACAATTTTGTAGTTAAAGTAATTGTTTCTCAAACTAGGAATAAAAATAAGGCTTTTAAAAGTTCATTACTAATCCTAGGTATAAAGAAACGTCACTTGGAAATAGAGCATTTCTTATTTATATACTAAGCACAAAGCAATGATATTATGGATTGATCTCCTTCCCTCCACCTAACCCACAATACCTCAAAATATGACCTTATTTGGAAACAGGGTCACTGCAGATATTGTTAGTTAGGTTAAGATGAGGTGACACTGGAGTACAGTGGGCCCCTCGTCCAATATGACCGGCCACGTGAAGACAGAGAGACACCCAGGGAGAGCACCAGGTGACGACAAAGGTGGAGACTGGAGTGATGCAGCTGCAAGCCCAGGGACGCCAAAGATTGACAGCAGAAGCTACAAGGAGGCAGTGACGGACTCCCCTAGGGGTTTCAGATGGAGCATGGCTCTACACCTTGACTTTGGACTTCTAGCCTCCAGAACTGTGAAAGAATAATTTTGTTGTTTTAGGTAACTTAGTGTGTGGTACTTTGTTAAAGAAACCCCAGAGAACTAAAACAAATGGCTACAACTATAAAAATAAGACCAAACCAGATAGGAATTATGGAGAAGTTGTATTTCTTGCTCTGGCAGGCACTGTAGTTTGCTAGATTAATTTTCAGCCTCCCTCACAACTTATGGTGGCTGCGTGACACCATTCTGTCTAATGAGACATAAGTGGAAGATTTAGGGGAAAGACTTTCCTTCCTGATAAAATTACAAAGCTTCACAGGGAGAAGGCCTTGGCTAAAGGTACAGTGACCCGCTTGATACTAAGAATGAAAGCCACAGGGTAAGGACAGGAGAGCAGGAATGGGTGAGTTTGTTCTATCACATCTCTAACATATTTGAATAATTACTTGTTCGGTTTTCCATCACTACAGCCAAATGTTGGGAAAAAGAGAAGCCAAAATTTACTGTCATTTCAGCTTTATGAACAGTCATGGAAAATTTCACAACCCACATCAAGCAGCATCTGCATACATCCTATGAAGAGGATTTCTACCCAGCAGATGCCTGTCTTCCCTTCAAGCTCCAGTTCAGACGTTTCTCCCTTTAGGATGCTTTCTCTGGCTCCCTCAGACTGACCTCAGTATGTTTTTCTGCTTGCTCCATTAATGTCATTTACAGACCTTTATTTTTAATCCAGATCACATCATATTGCAATTATCCAACTTCCTTCTCTTTCTGACTAGAGCCGTCTGAGCACAGAGTCCCTGTTTTTTCATCTTAGTACGGCCAGCACCTAGGACTGAACCTGGAACTCAGTAGGTACTCAATAAATGGTGGCCGAATTAACAAAAGAATGAGAAAAGTCACTGAACCTCAAGGGCAGGAAAACTGAAAGGAAACAGGATCCAAGAGCAACAAGAGTGTGCTAGGCTTTTAATTATCAAACCATTTTCCCCCCCTCACTGAAGGGAAAAACCTGTTCAATATACCCCCAGTTAAAATGTCATCTCACTTATATCATGATTTAGTGGGATATGTGTATGTGTGATTTTTGTTTCATTAGTATTTACTATGTGCTAGGCATCACGCTAGAAGTGTTATATTAAATATCTCATTTAATCCCTTCAACACCTTCTGAGGCAGTGGCAGCTCTAGATGACTTTTTATAAAGAAAGGGTTTATAGTAGTAATTTGGTTAGAAGTGGATGACTATAGTACTTGTCTGGAAGCTGTGTTCACCTAGCTGGCTCATGTTTTTGTTTTTACTTAGATTGTATATTTATTTGGGGTAGTCTAGGGGAGAAAGCTGGTGGAGATTATAGAAGGGTTATGAAGCAACGCTAACTTCACCTTGAAGATATCACTGCTCTCAAAGGTAGCATTAGTCTGATTACTCATTTCACAGATACAAAAGCTGAGACCTAGAAAGGTTAAGAAATACACCCAAGGTTAGTAAGTGATGGTGAAGGAGTTAAGACTCAGGCATTCTGACTGAAAGCCCTGTGTATGGTCTTTAAAAGGATTTTACATTTCTTATAGTTTAAGAAATGATTTTATTGCATCCATTGGTCCCATATCAGCTGTTCAATATCTTTCAGAACAAATGTAATCTTTCTTCCAATGACGGCCCTTCAAATGTTTGAAGAATGCCATCATGTTCTCCATGACAGGCAAAATATCTTAAATGGTTCCTCATATGAGATTTTAAATTTTTGTACTTTTTTTGAAAATTTAATAAATAATCATGCATTTATTGGGGAAAAAATTATTAAAAAGTGTGAGAATACAATTTGAAAGTCTGCCCACCACCAAACTCCAGTCCTCAATTTCTACTCTGCAGGAGTAATTGTTGCTGACAATTAGGTGGGCCTTCCAGAGCTTTTTCTATCAAACCTAAATATAAAAATAAACAAATATACATAAATATTTCTTTTTTATATACATGGCATTATACTATACATAATGTTCTACAACAAGCTTTTTTTTCATGACATGTCATTGGACACCCTTCCCTGTCAATACATATAAGATTGACCTCATTCTTTTTAACAATTGCCTAGTGTAGATGTGCTAACTTTTACTTAACTGTTTCTTCATTCGGGTTTTTAATCTCCACTTTTTCCTAATACAGATAATGGTGTAGTGAACATCCTTATACAGGCAATCATTGCTGTTCATAGTTTCTTTTTTTTTTTTTTTTTTTTTTTTGAGACGGAGTCTCACTCTGTCGCCCAGGCTGGAGTGTAGTGGTGGGATCTCGGCTCACTGCAAGCTCCACCTCCTGGGTTCACACCATTCTCCTGCCTCAGCCTCCTGAGTAGCTGGGACTACAGGCGCCCACTACCACGCCTGGCTAATTTTTTTGTATTTTTTTAGTAGAGACGGGGTTTCACCGTGTTAGCCAGGATGGTCTTGATCTCCTGACCTCGTGATCCACCCGCCTCAGCCTCCCGAAGTGCTAGGATTACAGGTGTGAGCCACTGTGCCCGGCCCATAGTTTCAATATTCACAAATTTCAGTTATCACAGTTGTCCCCCGAGCAACACAGTTCAAGTTTCAGTTACCACAGAATGTTAACTATGAGTAACTGCATGAAGTACAAACTTCACTGCTTGGTCTCTACAAATTGCTATGTAAATAACACATGCGCATCATGATCAGTGACCAATCACATCACTTCTTTTAAGTCTGTTGGTGATTGTTCACTGCACTTCATTATTCAGTCCATGCACAGACAGCAAAGAATGTAGTTTTGCTTTTCCCTGTCTCCCAGTGATAAACCAACGTGACACTTTACGAAAAGGGGTAACTGAAAAAGGAAAACTGACCAACAAAAAGGAAGGTACAACAAAGAAACTAAAAGTGAGAACAGTAGAATTAAAATTTGAATTGAATGTCAATGGAGTTATTGTAGTTGACCACAGGAATGTTGACAATTGCTGCCACTGGGGAGACTCTAGCTAGCTATGTAGCTAGAGGAACTTAGTAACATAGTTTCACCATGTTAGCCAGGATGGTCTTGATCTCCTGACCTCGTGTTCTGCCCGCCTCGGCCTCCCAAAGTGCTGGAATTACAGGCGTGAGCCACCGCGCCCGGCCAAGGAATACTTTTAAAATATACCATTGATAAGAAAAGTAAGCAGAAAAATATACTTTCCCTAATAGCCTTTTCATATCACTTTCACCTTCCAACTGGAGAAGAGCACAGACCCATTGGCTCTCATCCTTCTTTCATCTAAGACATGAACCATCGTTTACTAACCAGAGACAACATGCAGCTCTTTAAAAAGCACTAATATACCTTCCTGGAGAATCTAGTGTCTCTAAAGTCTTTGGCTTCTCACTAAGGAAACTTGGGGGCCTGGTGGTGGTTTTCTTTGAAGCAATTTGAATAAAGTGTTTCCAAATTATAATCAATGTAAGATTATTGAGATTCATGGTTTTGGGGAAAAAGGGTAGAAAGTTTCTTGTGGGAAGATTTTCTAGGCTAGCTTAAAGAACAGGCTGGGCAAATGTTCACCTTAGTATAAAGTGCACAGATTTGGTGAGGAGATTCTGACAGGACTTCGCACATCTAGGCAGTGAAGATTTGAAATAATCTACTAGGTTTTATTGCAGTCAGTACTAATTCAGCTTCAGAATCACTGGATGGAATTGTAAGAAGTTTGTTGAACTTTCTCTTTCCCTTAGGCTCATATTTTTCTGTAACGTTATGAGACAGGTAAACTAGCCCTCCTATTAAGGTGACCTTCAGAACCAGTATAGAATTCAATATTGTTTTTGAAAAAAAAAACAAAAAACAAAAACAAACAAGATTTCTAGCAATGCCTAACAGCCAATCTGAGTTGAAGTATTCTTCTGCTAGCTGGAATCCATATTCTCACACAAACTAGAAATGCTAAACTGTTAATAGCTTCCCCTTGATTTGTTTTTTTGCCTTGATGCCTCCAGTGATTTCATCATAATTTTGGCAGACTATTATAGCTCTATTAATGTTCACCAGCACGAAGCTCTCTGACTGTTCTACAATCAGTTGTCTTCTCGATCTAGTTCTCAATTTTTTTAAAGTAGAGAAATTATTAAACATGCAATGGGAACACATGTAGGGTTATAATGGTCATAAGTGTTGCTATAATGTTTACAATGCTTTATAACAGAATAGTTCAACACTGAGCAAAGATAATTTCTTTTTCTGGCCCTTCAGTAGGACACTGTCAGTCTTCCTACCCTTTGGAAGAGAGTATTTGGGAATGATTATCTTAGACTTAGATTTTGACTCCTCTTAGATTCCTTTTGAGATGGAGTCTTGCTCTGTTGCCCAGGCTGGAGCGCAGTGGCATAATCTCAGCTCACTGCAGCCTCCGCCTCCCAGGTTTAAGCGATTCTCCTGCCTCAGCCTCCTGAGTAGCTTGGATTACAGGCACCTGCCACCATGACTGGCTAATTTTTGTATTTTTAGTAGAGACGGGGTTTCACCATGTTGGCCAGGCTGGTTTTGAACTCCTGACCTCAAGTGATCTGCCTGCCTCGGCCTCCCAAAGTGCTGGGATTATAGGTGTGAGCCATTGTGCCCGGTCTAGATTCTTTTTGCTAATTGATTTTAATAAGGACCTTTTGGTTTTGTTTGATACTACTTTTCATCCTGCCATTCTAAAACCTCTCCAAAACTTCCTAGAGCCCAGGGCTGTGCTACTACTTTCCCCTTCTCCTTGGGCTCACCCTCACACTAATCCTTGCCCTAGCCTCTCCGCTGTGGTTTGTATGTGGCCTGAATGTGCTGCTGGTTGGCATTCTGAGAAAAGATGAAGCTAGAACAAATATGCCATCTTAAAACTCTCCATGTTATGTGATGCCACGAAGGCAGGAGCAGGGGTAAAATTTCATGTTTAGCTAATGGTTACATTATTCTTGTTTCCTTCTGCTTTTACCCCTGGCCTCCTACTCATCACAACCTTCCATCTACCTTTCCCAGCCTTCTAGTTTCTCCCAAATCAAATCTGGACTAAGCTTGGGTTATCTGTTTGTACTCCTACTAGAACAATGTGATGCTGGGATTGTACAAGATGTAAAAATAACATAGACATGAACCACTTTTATCGATGGGGAAATAATGTTAGAATAAAGCAAGCTTTTTTATATCTTTCAATACAAGTCTGTTTGAGAGAACGACAGAACTCTTGCTTCTCCAACTCAGGGTGAGTTGGTAATTATATATTTCAGAAGAATACCACATACAATTAAAAAAATCATAAGAAACCACTAGCATAAAAATGTGACATGACATGAAGCTCAATATAAAGTTGTTCAGTGCACATACAGTAATTGCACCAATTACATTTAAAATATTTATTTGCTTACCAAAAACCCCAAGCTATAAAAGTCTAATTATAAAAAATGACACCAGTGAACAGTTTTTACCCAACCTAACCAAAAACAGAATAATATTAACAGTGCAAAGAAATGAAAAGAAACTTCAGTTTACATTTTGAATTAAGATGTCAACGAAATAAAACAGCAAATTCATCAGCCTTGTTGTTCACATACATGGCTTTAACATTTGAAGAAAATACAAAAGCCTTTTCAGCTTTGATAATCACTTTTGACTCTTTGGAGTTGATTGAGAAAGGAAACTACATCAAAACTTCCATATGTCAATACAGGTTAAATGCATAACTTGAAAACGTGATAATTTTTTAGAGAACACACAAGCCAAGTTGTTACCATTCCATCTGAGTAACATCTATAAGTTGATAAAACAACTTATAGACTTACTTCTTGAAGGGTCCATTTTCATTTCCAAGCATGGCATAAAATGTTTTAAATGGGACAGTTCTTTTGGTACATTTTACACAAAATTCCTTTCATAGTTTTTTGGGCCTAAAATTAAAGAATTATACAGGATGACCCTAAGGGGGCAATTTACTGAAATGACTGACATTCTCCACTGACAGCTCAAGACTGGATTCAGATTCCTCGGCACTTGTACAATTTGATTTCTGTGAGCAATTAGATAATGGCACATAGATGATCATAGTCATGTTAGTTAAAAACATCTCTGCCTACATTTACGCTTTGACTTAAAATGAAGAAATATGAAGATACTGTCTTTTGTCACAAGGTGTAATCACTATATGAGTGGATTGCTGCAACTCTCCTGCAATGGACAGAGATATTTCATCAATACCACCATCTCAACAGTTTGTCGCTAACTCTAATTAGTCTGTTTTATTATAATGTATTAATATCAATCATATCGACACACTATAAAAATGTTAATTGATCTCAGGTATGATACCAGCATCTTGTCTTTCCAGGCTCACAGGGAAAAGATATAACTAAAGTTGCAATGATATTTAAATACAGAAACATTTCTGAGTCACACCAGAAAGGCTAATGGTCACTTTTAAATACAATATTTAATTTTTTTCTGAGAAAAATACAGAATATTTCTACAATTTTTTCAAACACCCAAATTCCTTTGGAAATATTTTATTCTTTCCCAGCAAGTAATAAGTAAGAATGAGTATGGCTTTTACTATTAAAATTTTAAAAACAATTTTATAGGTTAGTTATTTCCTTTAGCTAGAAAACTCATCTCATCTTTACCGATCTAGCTCCTACCTGTCTTTTAAGAACTGTTCAAGCTCTTTTTCCTCCATCTAGACCTCTCTCACTTTTCCAACCTATCACAATATTCCATTCATTTGGATAACTTCAATATAGTCCATTCATTATACTTGCAAAGAATTATGTATCTTTTCATGTTATTTGTTAGTAGTTCCATACAGTTTCTTTAATGTTTCAATAAATTAATTTGAGTTCCCTCAACTCTTACCCTCTCCATGCCTTACACAGTGCTCCTGAATTTACTTGACTAATTGGAAAATCTTATTTTCATTAATGTTTCTGAAGGAATATTAAGTAGCCAAACTTTTACAAATAAAATAGAAGAGCTTTCAATATACTCATAGACAATAATTTAATTGGGAGTTTTTTAAAAAGTATAATGAATGCTAAAGAGACATGTCACTGACTGATAAAATAATACTGATTTATAGGGTTCTATGTATGTGTTTCCTGTCAGTCTGCCTACCCCTCCCCTATTTTACTGTCTTTGCCTTTAGAGTGAGGATTAGGTGTTCTTAATTATCCATTAGGCTTACAACCATGCCATAAACACAGCGGACACTCAATATGAGCCTTTACCTGAGAATCATCCATGGGTAATTGTATGTTCTATCTTTATTCAGACAAAGAAAAATTAACCATTTCATACCGTGGATGAAGTCATTTACCAAGCCCTCCCTGAGCCTCAGAGTGGCTGGGTCCCAGGGTGTCACTTCTTTTTATGCTCTGGGAAGGCTGGACCCAAGGGCACCCCCTCCCCACTCTCACAATTCTCTCCCCCAGAGTAGTTTAGACATGTTCACCAGGCTTGCCAACACCCCAGCCAGGGCACACCTTATCTCACAAGCAGGAGGAATTGTGTAGAGAGAAGGTCAGATACTTCTCATAAAGTCACACACATAATCACAGACACACAATGCAGAGAAGCAGAAGGAATGCTTCCTGACAACCAGTCTTCTTTTCAAATACCTGGACCATGTTCACTCCCTAAATTACAATAAATGTGTATGAAAGACCTGTGCCCCGTTCAGCCGCAGGAAGCAGTGGAGATCAGGAAGATACTTGGCTTAGACTCAACACAGCTGCCTTATGGCACCAGTGCCACTAGGAAGCACTTGAGACACTTTCAGAGGGCACTTTATTTCTTTCTACCAGATGAGCCTCTGTTTTCTCTGCACCCTTATCTTCTCTCCACCCATTCTTTGCTTATCTTTTAGGTTTGTTCCCATCTATGCCCCAGGCCTGCCTATACCATCCATGGCACTATTCAGACTGGCAATCAAGATAACTTTTAGCCAACAAAGGTAAATGTATCTTCCTTTACAAATAGTTTCCACTAATTATTTTTATATAGGAGGCAGAAAAAATATAAAATAGCATATTCATTACCATTTTACTATGTCTGTATGATAAAATACAAACAAATAAGGTAAGAGGTCTGGAAACAATACAAGCCTTTCAGAATAGTAAGCCAGAGAAGACTTTCACCCAAATTTCAGGATGTCAGGTGGCAAGATGGGTGAAGACAGCTCAGTAGATGCTGGGAAATGTGATAGTTAATATTGGCGCAAGGATGGCATTTCTCTTCTAAAGTCCTGGTTCATGTTGAGGATCAGATAAAAATACATCAGAGCTGGGTGTGGTGGCTCACGCCTATAATCCCAGCACTTTGGGAGGCTAAGCCGGGCAGATCACTTGAGCCTTGGAGTTCAAGACCAGCCTGGGCAACAAGGCAAAACTCCATCTCTACAAAAAATACAAAAGTTATTTTGGTTTGGTGACATGCACCTGTAGTCCCAGCTACTCAGAAGGCTGAGGTGGGAGGATTGCTTGAGGCCAAGAGATGGAGGTTACAGTGAGCCAAGTTTATACCACTGCACTCCAGCCTGGGTGACAGAGTGAGACCCTGTCTCAAAATTATATATATATATATATAAAATATCATAAAAATTCTGAACAATGGAACTTGGCTCTATAACAGCAACAAAAAATGATTGTCACATGCATGTGTTTGAGTCTACTGCCTTAGGTCTGGGGTTGGGTTTTTGCAAGACTAGGACTGTTATCACCTCAGCTGGGAAAACTGCTGTTCCTAATACATAGAAGGGATGTTTGCCCAAGTCAGGGGCAGACTAAATGGGTGCATAAGACCGTCTTTCTCTATAATTCTTTGAAAGGAGCTTAAAAAGATGTACATTAGAAAAAGAATAGGCAACCGTAGGTCATCTATGCTAGAATCTAGAAAAATTAGAAATCATGATAGAGAAACAACCACTGCCTTACTCTTGAATGTCATTTTACTGGGGGAAAAGCTGCCATTTAAGAAGATATTTATATATCTATACCATTACTTGAAAGATTCTTTAGGCTTAGAAGATAATGTGTGAGATAAAAGGGGGGCAACAGGGATTTATAAAAAATCACTCTGTGTGTTTGAAAGAGATCAAAAGTGATATGTTCACCAAGTCTGTAACATAAAAAGGAGGGAGGCACCACTTCATGACGCTGGAACCAAGTGGCCTTGGTCACTCTATGTCAGTTTCTATATAGCCCAGGAAGATCATGGAACTCATGATTTCAAGAGGCAGCACTAGCTGGACATGCTTAGATGTTCGAAAAGGCTTTGGGAAAATTCATGGCTGGTGGATTAACATTGAGATATTAAAGAAGCTTGAGAATATCTCTAATCTTTTCAATAGCAACATTACAGAGGGCATGCTCTCCACACAGTACTTTTTGGTGATTTTGTTTGTTAGGGAAAGAAACTTGGTTGAATAACGACATTATTATTAGTAGTACTAATAATAGCAAAGCACCAATAATAGTAATAGTAAGTAGCAGTAGCAGCAACTAATTTTTACTACCAATTGGGCAGTGTGTGGTGTGCTTCATTTATATTGTTAATTCATTTCATTCTCACAACACTGTTATGTATGAGGAAACTGAGGACTACAGAGGTTAGGTAACTTGGACAAACCATACAGCCAGAGAGTGGCAAAGCCAGGATATGAGGACAGGCAGCATAATTCCAAAGCCCATGCGGTTAAATTATGTGCAACCCAGTGTGTATTCACAGACATTCCTATGTTTTGCACCTGGAGATTATCCAGGCAGAGGAGCTCAGTCTCTCAAATACTCAAAATGCGACCTTTCAAAATAAAACTCTACATAAAAGGGGAACAAAATCATAGGTGATATTTCTTTGTATTGTATTGTTAAAACCAGTGTTTTTTAAGTATTAAGAACCAGTGTTCATTTTTCTAATGATGCCTCTATTTAAAGTACTCCTTCTATTCCATTTTACCAAAAGTCATATTATTGATAGTCATCTTCCTATTTGATGACACATCAATAGTAAAATAACTCAAATTATCTGTTGTTTAATGTGAATATTCAGAAACCAGATATTAAGTGCAAGGATAAGTGTTCCACAAGAAAAGCTCAGTTTTCAAGCAGGAGGGAAATGGGTATTTGCTGGGTACTTGATAGATGCTTCCTGCCAGGCAAAAACCCAAGACTGCTATAAATTCACATGCATTCACTGGGTCAACCAAGATGGGGTCAAGGGTAGCTGTTCTGACAATCCAAAACATAAACCAATCCCAAATATTTACAAATGCATTATGTGCTTTTAAGTTACCCTGATGTCCTTATATAATTCATAAAATTAGCTTGTATTTCCAAAGCAACAAATCAACTTTTATTAAATAAGGCACCCTGAAAAATAGGTTGAACAGAATAAAAGAAACCAGCCTTGACATACTCCCCAAATGTCCTCAAAATATCCAGCATCCAACCACAAAAGATAGGAGCTGGTGCTGAAAGTTGTTCCAATGACATGTATGTCATATATAAACCACCCACTGCTACTGCTACACTTGTATAGTGCTTTCCCAATATCAGGCACTAAGCTAAAGTGCTTTCATACCTAGCAAGTCACTGATTATAACTCATTACAACCTTATGAAGTAGGTACCATAATTATCCCCATTTTAAAGATAAGGAAACTGAAGCGCATAGATTAATTTGCCCAAATTTACTAGAAAGTGGCAGAGTTGCGATTGAATCCCATGCAGTCTGACTCCAGCATCTGTGCTCTTAACTGCTATGCTAAGCTGTCCATAAGAACTGAATATAACCCCCCAGGAAATCTGAAAGATGGCATTTGCTGTTTGTGCAACAGGCAAACCATAATCTGGTCATATTCATTACCTTGATATAAGCTCATTGGAAGTTCAGATGAACACAATAAATTAATTCCTTGCCCACTGACTAGTTATTTCTGTCAGATATCCTGACCTGAATTAACTTTGTTAATATTCCAAGCTAGCTTTGTCAATATACCCAGACTATTTCGTTTTGACTGGAATAGTTCTTAAATACTAAAGAACTGGTCTTGGTTCATTTTCTTATGTCTTGTTTTCTCCATGTCAAAAAGCCAAAGGAAATCGATGTAACTCAGGATGCAATGAAAAGATCAAACCTGCTGTGGCACAAACCATTTGGGGAGCTAACTTGGCAGTTCAGACAACCCAGAAATAATCTTTTTCCCCACTTGAAGGCTTAGTCTTGCCAGTGGCTACAAAAGTGTCGGTTCTGCCCCTCTGCCAGCAAAGATAGCAAAACTGGCAGTCCAAGGCCTCTGTCACTGACAACACGTGCTGGAGCAGACAAAGGTCAGGGAATGTCAGAGGCAATTAATCAGATGGTATCTGAAAGAACGGTGCATGCCTCCTACTTGTCTATTTTTCTTCTGGACCCAACAATATTCCTCATGGGAGGACCTACACAGTTATAAACAGGTGGCCAAAATACCATGTAATTTTACTCATAAAAGAAAACAAATCACAAATTATGTTGCACCCTACAATTTTATTTTAGAGTATTTCCTTTCCCTTGAGAAGCCTTGGCCCCATTTGAAAGACAATAGATACTCTGAGGAAGTATTACAGAAGAAACACACAGTTTTTGCCTTGGGTTCTCACTAGAAGAGTTTTCACGTAAAGCAGATGGCAGGATTTTAGACTTCTTGGTAATTTTTTATGACACTCTAAGGTAACTTCAGTTTCTTTCCTTTTGTTTTTAACCTGCAATAATGCCTGCAGTAAAGGGAAGGTTGCTTTTAGATTTTACGAGGGGGAATCTCTGTGTATTCTCTTCAGATCTTGGGAAAAAAACACCCTATTTCAAATAGAAACTGAGAAATATTAACTGATAGTCTAACTTTCTTAACACTCCCCTGAATGTTGAAAGAAACAAGAGAAATAGTTGCCAAAGATACAGTTTCTCCCTTCCAGAAGATGAAACCATAGTTGAAAAGAAAGTATATATAGTTTCATAGGCAAAACATAAATATTCATGTAAATTTAAGAACACTTTAATTTGGTGGCTTTTCTTTTTTCTTTTTCTTTTTCTCTTTTTTTTTTTTTGGTTTGAGATGGAGTCTCGCTCGGTCGCCCAGGCTGGCATGATCTCGGCTCACTGCAACCTCTGCCTCCCGAGTTCAAGCGATTCTCCTGCCTCAGCCTCCCAAGTAGCCGGGACTACAGGCACGTGCCACCATGCCCAGCTAATTTTTGTATTTGTAGTGGAGATGGGGTTTCACCATGTTGGCCAGGATGGTCTCAATCATTTGACCTTGTGATCTGCCCGCCTCAACCTCCCAAAGTGTTGGGATTACAGGCGTGAGCCACCGTGCCTGGCTGGTGGCTTTTCAAATACCTAGGAAACTCTGCAAACACATGGGAAACTTACTATTATTTTAAAAGACCACTGTCATACTGGGTTTAGGATTACTAATAGGCTTCTTAACAAAGCAATCACACCTGACATAGGGAGAGGTTCACCTTTTCTAATACAGCTTGTAGTAGAGAAGCCATTGGGTAGCCCAGAAAAAAAAAATTAAAATTATACATATTTTTAAAATTTTGAAGGGAAATTTGCTATTTTAGGCTGAAGTTAATGGTGGCAGGGACGTGAAGTAAAGATTAGTTTCCTAGTAAAAATGTAGACTGATTAATTTATTTAAAACTAAACTAACATTGGGGAAAAGTCTGACTTTAAAAAATGGATAATAAAAAAACTAAAAAGCATTCAGTGCAAAAAATTCTTCTGACAGACTAATAAGAACTTTAATATGATAATCTGGTGTTTATCTGCACTTTGCTTGTGCAATTGCAGTTTTCTTAGCTATTATTCAAGAGCTGTAAAATGAAGAATACCTAATTGCCTCCTGTAGAAAAGCATTACTACTGAAATGACTTAAGCAAACATGTTCTGAACTAACAAAGTATTCTAAAATAATTTGAACTGAAAAATGAATGAAAGCTAAATGACTGTCATTAACTATTCTACAGGTGCCTCTAGCCATGGCCCATTTTGGTTTTAGCGAACACCCACTAGCCTTAGGACAGTTTTCAACAGCAGTATGTCAAATCAGTAACCCATTTTTTTTCCCCTCTTACCTGCTATAATGCTTGTCAAGTTGGAGTACTGTTCTATCTACTGCCAAGTGAACTCAGAATGAGAATGTTCTTGGCTTGTGATGTGATGTTACCTCAGTTGTTTGAGAGAGGTGAGGTAAAGTGGGGCAAGAGAAAGGTGCATTTGCTACAAAGCAATTACAGTATTTAGACAGGGAACAAAATCAAAGTTGGGGGGAAACCGACAAAAACAAACCGAACCGTCTCCTACCTAAGTTTTCTTGTCATAGTTTTCCAATTGGTAAAATGAGTTTATGTATTGTTGCTCTTAAACTGCATAGGAAATGTATACATAAAGACACAGCTAATACATTCTCATATAATTTAGGAAGAACACTTCCCTTTATTCTATGAGAGAATATTTTTAAAACCATAAAAGAACCGTTGGAAGTTCAGAAATAAGTAATATAAATGTTTCATTAGGAAGATGAATTTGGGGCACACTGACTTCTTGCAAACCATCTTTCTTTCAGCCTTTTTGTGTCCCATTCCAGTCAGGTTCTCAGCTGCACCTAAGTTACACTGGTAACCGCCTTAGTGTTTGCACAGAGACCTGCTGAGCTGAAGCAAGCCGCCTCTTCAGTCATTGAGGTTTTCCTCGGGACTGGTTCTTTACATGCATTCTCCAAACTCTTGCACATCTGGGTCCTAACTCTGGTAATTGTGTCTTCCTGATTTGGAATAACTCATCCTAATTCTGTCTTCCCAGTTACTAGCCTTCTAAACAACCTGGCATCTCATCTGCCTTATGTCTCTGCTATCCTGTACCACTGATTTCTGGGACCTCTAAAACTGCCCAGTTCTGCTCCCTTAGTCCAGCTTTTTGGATAGTGTGCCCCACCTTTATTTCTCCACTTCCAGGTATAATATGGATGAATCAAAAAGTAATTTGCCAAAGTTTATTTAGGAAAAAAATATTCCTGTCAGATTTATTACTTCCATTTAAGAAGCACTGCCTTATACAAATCAACTTCTTTGGTTTTGTGTTTTTCTAATATAAAAAAGCATGGCCTATGTATGAAAACTGACACGTAGCCCACTGAAATATCTATATAGGAAACCAGTTGGATTGTTTGCTGTGACTCATTTATTTATAAAGTGGTGACTTGCAAGTAACAAAGTCAGTTTCACTGCAGGGAATACCAACTCCATATTGGATAGTCTATTTTAAGTCACTTCGTTAGTCTTGTGTATTGTATCTTAATAACACAACTAATCAACAACACTAGGTTAGATTGCTAACCTCTTCTAAGGAGCACCCCCAGCTACAAAACCCTGGAACTGGAAGGAATCATATGAGCCCAGCTTCTCCTATGCTTTTAAAAACATTATTCAGCACAACTAAAATAAAAGTCATATTCAGAATCTTTATGAATCAGAATTCTGATCAAATCTTTTTGCTGCAAAAGAGGCTTGAATGCTTCCCATTTCCTGCTAGTTTACAAAGTAAGGTGCGTGAACCCAAGATATGCAAGATGGAGCATGGAATGCAGGAAGAGAATACTAGCTTGTCTATTTATATTTAAATTATCTCATTTATATTTTTTGGTGTATTTTACAGTGTATATATCAGTACAATAATATACATTATAGAGTTTATTAATAAATGTATACATATGTTGGGGTAAATATGTGAAATTTTTATAGGCTGGATATATAGTCAGAAAACTTTGGAGGCCAGTAGCTTTCATAACAATAACTAGCCCCTTAGGGTACCAATTAAGGTAGCTTACAATCTGCCTTCTATTGGCCATTCCTGCTACCTTGTCCATAAATACTATCCTTATCTAGACACCTTATGCTCCATTCACACTAAACAGTAGACTGTATGCTCTATGAAGGCAGAAGTCATGAACATCATACTCACCCTTTGGATGCTCAACACTTAACACCTTGCATAGCATCTAATATTTCTTCTTTTATTTATTGTTTTTGAAACAGTGTCCCACTCTGTCATCCAAACTGGAATGCAATGGTGCAAGTATAGTTCATTGTAACCTCAAACTCCCAGGCTCAAGCGATCCTCCACCTTGGCCTCCCAAAGCACTGCGATTACAGGCATGAGCCACTGCACCCAGCCCTACAGACACATTTATTAAATGAATGATTAATTAATGAAACTAGCTTTATAAACACACTGTGCTATTTTATAACTCTCTACCTTTCCATTTATTGCTCTGTCTGACTAGAATGCTTTTTTTTTTTTGGCTAGCCCTCAACCTGGAGAATACCTATAAAACCAGACTAGTTGCTTCATAAATACTTCTACCCCACACCATATAGTTACTTATGACCTCATTTGAGCTCCCAAACACCTTTCTAACTATTTATATTACATGTTTGTCCTCTCTAACAGACTGTGAGCTTCCTTGAAGATAGAAAGAGTTATTCCTTTGTATCCCCAAATCCTGGCATGGTACCTAGCACATCGTAGGTACTCAATAAATCACTGTGGTATGATGTATAAGTAAATTTCTAAACAATATACTATTATATTTAAAAGGCATTAAAATGCTTCTGCTTCTAGTGATGACTGAAAGCTGGTACTAGAGTTGACCTCCAATTATAAACAATTGGAAAACTGGACAAAATATATCGAACCATTGTTTTCAGCTATTGGACAACAGGCAGCAAAGGACTGCGATCTCTGAGAAAAGGGAAACAAGTGAAGTGAGACTTAAGATCACTACAAGCAGAAAGTGGATGACTCATTAAGTTGAGGAGGTAGAGATGAAATTAGGGGAGGCTGAGGTGGCTGGAATTTTCAGGGCACAATACCAGAGAAGAGGGAGCTATGCATAAGTAGAGTTTCAGAAACCGATGCAGAGTCTTCCTTGAATCTTTGCCTGAGCACTAAGCTGTGTGTTGCAGTGTGAGACTCCATCAGGCTAGGCAAAAAAACAATAGTCTGTAAGATGTTCCAGTTACTTCTAGCCATAGTAGAGAGATATTATTAAATAACAGAGGCATTCAGTGAAAACACCAAAAGGTAAGGCTTTAATAGTAGGGTTAAACTAGCATAAAGTAAAGGTCACACTAGACATGTCCTCCAAAAGCTTAAAAAAACCCCAAAAACCAAAACCAAAAATAAGTGTTGAAAGAATCAAACTGATCCACAAGTAGCTTAACTGACTACCAAAACAAAAAATAAATTCAGACCCTCAACAATGTAATGTTCACAGTATCCTGCATCCTCAAAAACTTACTAGATGTTTAAAGAAGAAAAAAAGTATGATAAAAGAAACTCAAGAAAATTTAACCATAGAAGTGGACTCAGAAGTGACAAAGATGATGGATTTAGCAAAACAACAAGTATATAAAAGGATAATACAAACATATTCAAAGATTAAAGGAAAATAGAAACATAATGAAAAGAGAAATAGAAACCAAAAAGAAAGAAAACAAATGAACTCTTAGAGTAAAAAATATATAATACCTGAAATTAAAATTTTGTCGGATAGGCTTAACATCAGATTAGTCAGTGCAGATGTAAACATTGGTAAGAGTGATAGAAACTAACCAAACTGAAAGAGAAAGAGAAAGGGGTAAAAAACGAAAAACAACAGAGCCTCAGTGACATATTGAATAACATCTGCCTAACATATACATAATTGATGCCCCACAGGAATGGGGAAAGAAATGGCACAGAAATATATTCAAAGGAATAAGCCCAAAACTTGATGAAAATCATAAAACCAAAGATACATAAGGCCAGCAAACCCAAAGCAGAGTAAACACAAAGAAAATAACATTAAGGCACATCATAATCAAATTACTAAAAACCAGTGATAAAGTTCTCTTTTTTATAATCACCACTCCCCAAAGACAGTACATTCAAAATAACAAAAATGGGTGTACTTTTGACTTCTCGTCAGAAATAATAGAAGCCAGGGGACAATGGAATGAAAATTTTCAAGTATTAAAGAAAAAAATCAAAGTAAATTCTTTACGCAGTTAATAAAATTGTACTTGTGTTAGTCAGGGTTCTCTAGAGGGAAAGAACTAATAGGATAGATATATATATAGAAAGGGGAGTTTATTAAGTATTAACTCACATGATCACAAGGTTCCACAATAGGCCATCTGCAAGATGAGGAGCAAGGAGAGCCAGCCTGAGACCCAAAACTAAAGAACTTGGAGTCTGATGTTCGAGGGCAGGAAGCATTCAGCATAGGAGAAAGATGTAGGCTGGGAGGCTAGGCCAGTCTAGTCTTTGTATGTTTTTCTGCCTGCCTTATATTCTAGCCACACTGGGAGCTGATT
Organism: Homo sapiens; assembly: GCF_000001405.40. NCBI lineage: Eukaryota > Metazoa > Chordata > Mammalia > Primates > Hominidae > Homo > Homo sapiens. Next base: position 44,632,743 of record NC_000002.12, on the reverse strand, counting down.
AGATGGTGCCGGCCCAGATTAAAGGGAGTCTGCCTTTCCCAGCCCACTGACTCAAATGGTAATCTCCTTTGGCAACACCCTTACAGATGCACCCAGGATCAATACTTTGCATCTTTCAATCCAACCAAGTTGATACTCCGTATTAACCATCACTGTACTGTATTAGGGATTTTTGTTAGATATGTAGGATTTTAGTTGCTCTTGTCACACAAAAAAAGTGACTATGTGAAATTATAGACATGTTAATCTGTTTCACTGTTGTCACAACTTTACTATCTATGTGTATCTATAACATCATGTTGTAAACCTCAAATACATACGATGAAATTTATTTTGAAAAATAAACTAACGCCTCAAAAAATAAAAAATAATTTATCCAGAGAAAAGTGTTTAAAAAATGACATCAACTCAGTATTCTATGTTCATTGAAAAGTTACTACAATGATAAAGGAAAAAATAAAAATTTTCCTGACAAACAAAAGATGATATTACTAGCAGACTTGCACAGTGAGAAATAATTAAAGAAGGTCTTCAAGTGAAAGGAAAATGGTATTAATACTACATAGAAACTCAGGTATATATAAAAATCAGTGAAGAGTGCTGAAAATGGTAAGTACATGGGTAAATACAAACATTTTTCTTTTTTTAAGTTGCTTTCAAGGAAAATTAACCATTTAAAGAAAAAATAATGCCAGTGTATTGTGAGGTTTATGACATCTGTAGAAGTAAAATGTACGATAACAGCATAAAGGAGAGGGTGGGGAAGTGGAAGTATATTCTTAAAGCTTCTAACATTATATGTGAAATAGTATAATATTATGTGAAGGTGAATATAAATTAAAGTTATATAGTTTAAACCTTAGGGAACACCTAAATTCTAAACAAAGAGGTATAGCCACTAAACCAAGAGTAGAGAAAACTGAAATAATAAAAAATAATACAAAAGAAGACAGGAAAGAGGTAAAAAGAATAATGAACAAAAAAGACAAACAGAAAACAAATAGCAAGATAGTAAACTTAAACATAACCATATCAATAATTAAATTCAGTTCAATTAAACAGTACAATTAAAAAGAAAAACTTGTCAGATGGGCTCAAAATCCAAGACCCAACTATACAACTGTCCGCAAGAAATGCATACACAGCTGGGAGCAGTGGCTCATGCTACTAATCACACTTTGGGAGGCTGAGGCAGAAGGATTGCTTGAGTCCAGGAGATCAAGACCAACATGGGCAATAAAGTGAGACATCATCTGTACAAAAAAAATAAAAAATTGTTTTTTTTTCTTATTTAAACTCTTTGATTTGTATTTCCTTTCTTTTTTATTATTATTACTATTATTATTATTATACTTTAAGTTTTAGGGTACATGTGCACAACGTGCAGGTTAGTTACATATGTATACATGTGACTTGCTGGTGCGCTGCACCCACTAACTCGTCATCTAGCATTAGGTATATCTCTCAATGCTATCCCTCCCCCTTACCCCCACCCAACAACAGTCCCCAGAGTGTGATGTTCCCCTTCCTGTGTCCATGTGGTCTCACTGTTCAGTTCCCACCTATGAGTGAGAATATATGGTGTTTGGTTTTTTGTTCTTGCGATAGTTTACTGAGAATGATGATTTCCAACTTTATCCATGTTCCTACAAAGGACATGAACTCATCATTTTTTATGGCTGCATAGTATTCCATGGTGTATACATGCCACATTTTCTTAATCCAGTCTATCATTGTTGGACATTTGGGTTGGTTCCAAGTCTTTGCTATTGTGAATAGTGCCGCAATAAACATACGTGTGCATGTGTCTTTATAGCAGCATGATTTATAGTCCTTTGGGTATATACCCAGTAATGGGATGGCTGGGTCAAATAGTATTTCTAGTTCTAGATCCCTGAGGAATCGCCACACTGACTTCCCAAATGGTTGAACTAGTTTACAGTCCCACCAACAGTGTAAAAGTGTTCCTATTTCTCCACATCCTCTCCAGCACCTGTTGTTTCCTGACTTTTTAATGATTGCCATTCTAACTGGTGTGAGATGATATCTCATTGTGGTTTTGATTTGCATTTCTCTGATAGCCAGTGATGGTGAGCATTTTTTCATGTGTTTTTTGGCTGCATAAATGTCTTCTTTTGAGAAGTGTCTGTTCATGTCCTTCGCCCACTTTTTGATGGGGTTGTTTGTTTTTTCCTTGTAAATTTGTTTGAGTTCATTGTAGATTCTGGATATTAGCCCTTTGTCAGATGAGTAGGTTGCGAAAATTTTCTCCCATTTTGTGGGTTGCCTGTTCACTCTGATGGTAGTTTCTTTTGCTGTGCAGAAGCTCTTTAGTTTAATGAGATCCCATTTGTCAATTTTGGCTTTTGTTGCCATTGCTTTTGGTGTTTTAGACATGAAGTCCTTCCCCGTGCCTGTGTCCTGAATGGTAATGCCTAGGTTTTCTTCTAGGGTTTTTATGGTTTTAGGTCTAACGTTTAAGTCTTTAATCCATCTTGAATTAATTTTTGTATAAGGTGTAAGGAAGGGATCCAGTTTCAGCTTTCTACATATGGCTAGCCAGTTTTCCCAGCACCATTTATTAAATAGGGAATCCTTTCCGCATTGCTTATTTTTCTCAGGTTTGTCAAAGATCAGATAGTTGTAGATATGTGGTGTTATTTCTGAGGGCTCTGTTCTGTTCCATTGATCTATATCTCTGTTTTGGTACCAGTACCATGCTGTTTTGGTTACTGTAGCCTTGTAGTATAGTTTGAAGTCAGGTAGTGTGATGCCTCTGGCTTTGTTCTTTTGGCTTAGGATTGACTTGGCAATGTGGGCTCTTTTTTGGTTCCATATGAACTTTAAAGTAGTTTTTTCCAATTCTGTGAAGAAAGTCATTGGTAGCTTGATGGGGATGGCATTGAATCTATAAATTACCTTGGGCAGTATGGCCATTTTCACGATATTGATTCTTCCTACCCGTGAGCATAGAATGTTCTTCCATTTGTTTGTGTCCTCTTTTATTTCATTGAGCAGTGGTTTGTAGTTCTCCTTGAAGAGGTCCTTCATGTCCATTGTAAGGTGGATTCCTAGGTATTTTATTCTCTTTGAAGCAATTGTGAATGGGAGTTCACTCATGATTTGGCTCTCTGTTAATTAGCCAGGCATGGTGGTGTGCACCTGTAGTCCCCGCTACCTGGGAGGTCAAGGTGGGAGGATTGCTTGAGCCATTGTGGAGGTGGAGATTGCAGTGAGCCAAGATTAGGCCACTGCACTACAATCTGGGTGACAGAGTGAGACCCTGTCTCAAAAAAAAAAAAAAAAAAAAGAAAGAAAGAAAGAAATGCATACACAGTGAGATAGGTAGGTAAAACATAAATGAACAGTAAGAGATATGCCATGTGCACACTAATCATGAGGTTAGTGTAGCTGTATTGATATCAGACACAGCGGACTTCAAAGAACAAATATTACTGAGGATAAAGAAAGACATTTCATAAAGACGTAGGAGTCAAATCATCAAAAAGACAACATAACAATCATAAATATGTACGCAACAAATATGAGCTTCAAAATACATGAAGCAGAAGCTGATAGAAATAAACAGAAATATAGACACATACGTATATATTATATAGGAGATTTCACTACTCTTCTCTCAGTAATTGGCAGAGCAAGTAGACATAAAATGAGTAAGGATGTAGAATATGACAATAACACTATTAACCAACTTGTTTTAACTGATATTTACAAAACAGGACCTCAAACAAGGGCAGAATATATGTTTTTTCAAGTGTACATGAAACATTTACCCAGATAAACCATTTGATGGGCTATATAACAATTCTTCAATAACTTAAAGATTGAAATTATCCAGACTCTATTCTCTGACCAAACTAAAATTAAGTTGAAAATCAATAACAAAAAAGATGTCTTGAAAACTCTCAAATATTTGGCAATTAAACAATATACTGTTTAAAAAATGTATAGGTCAAAGAATAAATCATAAGAAACATTAAAAATATGTTGAACCAAATTAAAATATAGCATATCAAAATTTGTTGGAAGAGTAGGGCTTACAGGGTCAATTTGCAGCTTTGAATGCTTACATAAGAAAAAAGATTTGACTGAGGCAGGTGGATCACTTGAACCTAGGAGCTCAAGACCAGCCTGGACAACATAGTGAGACCTTGTATCTAAAAAAAAAAAAAACTTAGAAAAAAAGGTTTGAAATCAATGACCTAAGCTTTCACTTTCAGAAGCTAGAAAAATTTACGTTAAGCCCCAAATAATTAGCTTTTGGAAGCTAGAAAAGTCTATATTAAACCCCAAGTAATTAGAAATAAGGAACTGAAAAGATAAAAGGAGAAAGAAAAGATATAGAAAACAGACAAACAATAGAGAAAAACAATGAAACAAAAAGCCAGTTCTCTGAAGAAATTAATAAAATTGATAAACCTTAAGCTAGAAGCTAGACTGCTCAAGAAGAAAAAGAGAGATGAAATACAAATTAATGATGGGCACAGTGGCTCATGCCTGTAATCTCAGCACTTTGGGACCCCAAGGTGGGAGGACTGCTCGAGCTCAAGAGTTTGAGACTAGCCTGGGTGACATAGTGAGATGCCATCTCTACAAAAAAATTTAAAAATTAGCCATGCACGGTGGAATGTGTCTGTAGTCCCAGCTACTTGCACTGTTGGGACTGAAATAGGGAACATTGATTGCTACAGTTCCTATAGACATTAAAAGAATAAAAAGGGGCTAGGCATGGTGGCTCATGCCTATAATCCCAGCACTCTGGGAGGCCGAGAAGGTGGGTGGATCACCTGAGGTCAGGAGTTAGAGACCAGCCTGGCCAACATGGTGAAATTCTGTCTCTACTAAAAATACAAAAATTAGCCAGGTGTGGTGGCACGCATATGTAGTCCCAGCTACTCGGGAGGCTGAGGAATGAGAATCGCTTGAATCCGGGAGGCAGAGTCTGAGATTGCACCACTGCACTCCAGCCTAGGTGACAGAGTGAGACTCCATCTCAAAAAAAAAAAAAAAAAAAAAAAAAAAAAAGGATAAAATGGGACCATTATAAATAAGTTTATGCTAATAAGTTTGGAAAATTACATGAAATAGACAAATTCCTTGAAAGATATAAGTTGTCAAAATTGACACAAGAAGAAGTAAAAAATCTGAAGAGGCCTATGTCTATTTAATTGAATCTGTGAACGAAACTTTTTTTCCCAAACACACTCCAGGTTCAGATGGATTCACTGATTAATTCTATCAAGCATTAAGGGAAGAATTACTAGCAATTTTCTGTAAATTTTTTCAGAAAACATAAGAAGGAAGAACATTTGCCAGTGTATTTTACGAGTCCAGCAATACCCTGATACCAAAACCAGACAAAAAGAAACTATAATAAAACTTATTTAAAAAGACTGTAACTAGTATGAACATAGATGACACCACCCTTAATAAAATCATATAATCCTAAACAAAATAGCAAATCAAATCCAGTAATATCTATAAAGGATAATACCTTATGATAAAACAGTATCTAATCCCTATTCTGTAAGGTTGAATTAACATTAGAAAATCATGTAATTTACCACATTAACAAAGTAAAGGAGAAAAGCTATACAATCATCTCAAAAGAGGCAGGAAAATAATTTCACAAAATTTAACATACATTTATGAAAAAATTTCTCAACAAACTAGAAATAGAAGGACATTCTCTCATAAAGGACATTCACCAAAAAAATCTATACTTAACTTCTTAATTAATGGTGAAACACTAAATCCCTATCCTAAGATCAGAAACGAGGCAAGGATATCCACTGTAAACACTTCTATTCAGTGCTGCACTGGATCTCCCAGCCAGTGCACTAGAGCAAGAAAAGGAAATCAAGACATACAGACTAGAAAGGGTGAAGTAAAATTGTCTTTATTCATACAGGACATGGTCTCGTGCAATGTTCTGAATGTTGTGTCCCCCCAAAATTCATATGTTGAAATCCTAACCCCCAAAATGATGAGTTTAGGAGGTATGGCCTTTAGGAGGTGATTAAGTCATGAGGGTGAAGCTCTCATGAATGGAATTAGTGCACTTATAAAGAAGACCCCAAAGAGCTAGCTAGCCCCTTCTACCGTGTGAGGATACAGTCGAGAAGGAATGGGCCCTCATCAGACACCTAATCTGCTGGTGCCTTGAGGACTTCCCAGCTTCCAAAACTGAGAAATAAATTTCTGTTTTTTATAAGCTACCCAGTTTATGGTATTTTGACATAATAGCCCAAATGGACTAAATCACTGTTATACATAAAATATTCTATAAAATCCTTTAAAAAGCTATCAGAATTAATAAGTGAATTTAGCAATGTCACAGCATTAAAGGTCAGTATAAAAATCAATTGTATTTCTATATGCTAGCACTAAACAATTGGAAAATGAAATAAAAATACAATACCATTAACAATAGCATTTAAAAAGAAAACAAAATAATAGGAATAATTATGCACATCGGAGTGGGTGTACAAGATCTGTTCACTGAAAACTACAAAACACTACTAACAGAAATTAAAGAAGACCTAAATAAATGGAGTGAGATATCATTATTATGGATCAAAAGACTCAATATTATTAAGATGTGAATTATCTTCTCTTTAAATTCATCTATGAATTCAATGCAATCCCAATTAAAATCACAACAGCCTTCTTCTTTTGATTTTTTAGAGATTGCCAACCTGATTCTAACATTTATATGAAATACAAAGGACCTAAAATATCCAAAACCAATGTGGAAAAAGTAGAACAAAATTAGATGACTTACAGTACCTGATTTAAGGACTTGTAAATCTACAGTAATCAAAACAGTATGGTATTGGCATAATGGTAGACATACAGATTAAGGGAATAGAAAAGACAGTCCAGTAAGAGATCTGGACATTTACATCAATTAATTTTCAACAATATGTAAAAGTAATTCAATGGGAGAAAAGATGATCTTTTCACCAAGTAATGCTAGAACAACTGGATATCGGTACGGAAAAAAAATGAACCTCGACCCTTACCTCACACTGTATTAAAAATAATATTCAAATATATCACATTCCTAAACATAAATGCTAAAGCTTTAAAATATCCAAATTAAAACATAGGAGAAAAATCTTCATGATGTTTGTGTGAGCAAAACTTTTTAGAACACAAAATGCACTAGCCATAAAAGAAAAAAAAGATAACTTAGATTTTATAAAAACTAAAATCTTCTGCTCTTAAAAAGACAGTATTAATAAAATAAAAAGGCAAGCCAAAGACTGGGAAAAAATCTGCAATACTTACATTTAACAACTGATTTGTTAAATATATGTATTTATTAAATGTATTTGTATAGGTTATATACAGAATTATTGCAATTTAATAAAAAGGTATCCAATTCAACTAAAAACTGTACAAAAGATTTGAACATGTCCCAAAAAATATATACAAATGGTCAATAAACACATGAAAAAAATTCAACATCAGCAATCATTAGGGGAATGCAAATTGAAATCACAATAAGATACTATTACATAGCCATTGGAATGGCTAAATTTAAAAAGACTAATCATACCAAGCGTTAGTAAGGATGTGAAGCAACTGAAACTCTCATACACTGCTGGGGGATGTAAAATGGTACAATCACTTTAGAGAACAGTCTGGCAGTTTCTTACAAAGTTAAACATATACCATACATACCATAAAACCCAGCCATTCCGGCAATCATTAGAAAGTCAGGAAACAACAGGTGCTGGAGAGGATGTGGAGAAATAGGAACACTTTTACACTGTTGGTGGGACTGTAAACTAGTTCAACCATTGTGGAAGTCAGTGTGGTGATTCCTCAGGGATCTAGAACTAGAAATACTATTTGACCCAGCCATCCCATTATTGGGTATATACCCAAAGGACTATAAATCATGCTGCTATAAAGACACATGCACAGGTATATTTATTGCGGCACTATTCACAATAGCAAAGACTTGGAACCAACCCAAATGTCCAACAATGATAGACTGGATTAAGAAAATGTGGCACATATACACCATGGAATACCATGCAGCCATAAAATGATGAGTTCATGTCCTTTGTAGGAACATGGATGAAGCTGGAAACCATCATTCTCAGCAAACTACTGCAAGGACAAAAAACCAAACACCGCATGTTCTCACTCATAGGTAGGAACTGAACAATGAGAACACATGGACACAGGAAGGGGAACATCACACACTGGGGACTGTTGTGGGGTGGGGGCACAGGGGAGGGACAGCATTAGGAGATATACCTAATGCTAAATGACGAGTTAATAGGTGCAGCACACCAACATGGCACATGTATACATATGTAACAAACCTGCACATTGTGCACATGTACCCTAAAACTTAAAGTATAATAATAAAAAAGACAAATAAAATTTGAAATAGAAAAAAGAAAAAAAACCCAGCCATTCCATTCCTAGATATTTACCCAAGAATAATGAAAATTTATATTCACAAAAAATCTTGTGCACAAATGTCCCTAACAGCTTGATTCACAATAGCTTCCAGCTGGAAACAACCCAACTTTTTATCAACAGTATTCATTTTTCTCCCATTCTGTAGGCTGCTTACTCTGCTGATGGTGTTTACTTAGCTCTTTAGTTTACTTAGGTCCCACTTGCCAATTTTTGTTTTATCAACAGTTGGGTGGAATGGATGAACAAATCTGTGGTAGTAAATTCATACAGTGGAATACTACTCCAAAATTCAAAAAGACTAAACTACTAATAGAAAACAAACAACATGAATGAATCTCAAAAAATAATGATTTGAGGGAAAAAAGGCATCCATAAAATATTACATACTGTATAATTCCATTTATATATAATTCTACAACAGTCTAAACTATAGTGACAATACATGGATCTGTAGCTTCCTGGTGGTGGAGTAGGGGATTGCCTGAAAAGGGACATGTGGGAATTTTCAGAGTAATACAGCAGAAACAATAACTTGATTGGAGTGGTGTTTACACTGGTATATACATTCATTAAAACTCATTAAAATGCACACTTAAGACTAATGGAACAGAATAAAGAACACAGAGATAAAGCCACACATCTACAACCATCTGATTTTCAACAAAGTTGACAAAAACAAGCAAGGAGGAAAAGACTCCCTATTCAATAAATGGTGCTGGGGTAACAGGCTAATCATATGCTGAAGAATGAAACTGGCCCCCTAGCTATCACCATATAAAAAAATTAACTCAAGATGGATTAAAGACTTAAACAGAAGACCTCAACCTATAAAAATCTCAGAAGAAAAGCTAGGAAATACCCTCCTCTGTATCAGCCTTGGCAAATAATTTATGGCTAAGTCCTCAAAAGCAATTGCACCAAAACCAAAAATCAGCAAATGGGACCTAAGTAAACTAAAGAGCTTCTGCACAGCAAGAGAAACACCATCAACAGAGTAAACAGACAGCCTACGGAATGGAGAAAAATATCTGTAAACTATACCAACAAAGGCCTAATATCTAGAATCTATAAGGAGCTTAATTCAACAAGCAAAAAACAAATAATCCCATTAAGAAGTAGGCAAAGGACATGAACAGACACTTCTCAAAAGAAGACATACAAATGGCCAATAAACACATGAAAAAATGCTCATCACCACAAATCATCAGAGAAATGCAAATCACCGACATACCATCTCACACTGGTCAGAACAGCTTTTGTTAAAAAGTCAAGAAATAACAGATGTTGGTGAGGGCTGCAGAGAAAAGGGAATGCTTATGCACTGTTGGTGGGAATGCATATCAGTTCAACCATCATGGACAGAAGTTTGGAGATTTCTGAAAAGAACTGAAAATTGAACTACCATTTGACCCAGCAATCCCATTACTGGATATATACTCAAAGGAATATAATCATTCTACCAATAAGACACATGTACTTCTATGTTCATCACAGCACTATTCACAGTGGCAAAGACATGGAATCAAACCAGCCCATCAACAGTGGACTGGATAAAGAAAATATGTTACATATATACCACGGAATACTATGCAACCATAAAAAATAAATCATATCCTTTGCAGCAATTAGGATGCGGCTGGAGGCCATTATCCTAAGCAAATTAATGCAGGAACAGACAACCAAATACTGCATGTTCTCACTTATAAGTGGGAGCCAAACATTAAGTACACACAGATTCAAAGATGGGAACAGACATTGGGGAATATAAGAGGAAGGAGGGAAGGAAGATGACAGGGGTTGAAAAACTGCGTATTAGGTACTATGCTCACTTTCTGGGTGATGGGTTCAAGTGTACTTCAAACCTCAGCATCATGCAATATGTCTTTGTAACAAACCTGCACATATACTCCCCAGAATCTAAAATAAATGTTTTTTAAAAGAAAAAGTAAATAAAAAATAAAATGGGTGCATTGATTATATGCAAATTTTACCTCTATGGAGTTGATTTTTTAAAAGCTAAAAAGACACCAGACATAAATAAGTGGAAGTTTTCCTCAAGATTTACCAATTTATGAGGAACGAGAAGCCAAGGCCATTTTTGAAACCAAAATGAGTAACTTTGTAGTTGACCTTGTATTATTCCTTACCACTACCTTTGGGTGCCTGGAGATTGTTGACTCTCCTAGAGAATGATTTACGTAAATTAAACCACTATCTGCCTTATTGTTCAAGCCAATAATTTAGAAGTTATACTTGATTCTTATCTTTCCTTCAACATCCCTCACATCTAATCCATCACCTTTTACCTCCAAATTACATCTTGAATTCATGTATTTCAATCCATTACTATTGCCACCACCACAATCCAAATGACTATCATCTCTAACTTAGAATAATGCAATAGTCTTTTATCAACTTTTCCCCATTTTACTCTTGTCCTAAAAATCTATTCTCCATGGAGCAAAAAGAATAATCTTCACAAGATACCAATTAGATCATGCTATTCCTTTGGTTAAAACCCCCAATAGCTTTCCACTGAACTAAGAATATAATCCACACACGTTACTCTGCCCTACAAGGCCATATATGATCTGGACCCAGCTTATTTCCCCAACTTCATCTTGAACCATTCTCACCCTTCCTGCTACACTTCAGCCATAATTAGTTTTCTTTCATTTCCTCAAACATACTAAACACATTCCTTCTTTCAGCTCCTTTGTATTTGTTTCCTCTGCCTAGAATATGTTCTCCCAGCTTTCCCCTTGACTGGTCTATTCTCATCCTTTAGATCTCAGTTCAAATGTCGCTTCCTCAGAGAAGCCTGCCAGGCCATCCAATGTAAAGCAGCCTCCCCCATCCCTTTCTTGTATCTTACTTTTCACAATCAGGAACACAGGTAGAGCCTTGGAAAGACCCTGAGTCAGGAACATGAGTAGAGTTTTGGAAATATAACTGTAACAACAACTGTTACATGGGTTGTGCTTTCTTATGCTTTTTTTTTTTTTTTTTTTGAGATGGAGTCTCGCTCTGTCGCCCAGGCTGGAGTGCAGTGGTGCGATCTCGTCTCACTGCAAGCTCCGCCTCCGGGTTGGCGCCATTCTCCTGCCTCAGCCTCCCAAATAGCTGGGACTACAAGCGCCCATCACCACGCCCAGCTAATTTTTTGTATTTTTAGTAGAGACGGGGTTTCACCGTTTTAGCCAGGATGGTCTCTGTCTCCTGACCTCGTGATCCGCCCGCCTCGGCCTCCCAAAGTGCTGGGATTATAGGCGTGAGCCACCGCACCCGGCCTGCTCCAGGCTCTGTTCTAAGAATTTTACATGTATTGTCACTTTATTTTCTTAGCAATCCTAAAGACAAGAACTGTAATAACTATAATTTTACAGATGAGAAAACTGAAGCACAAAGGAGTTGAATAACTTGCCCAATGACACATAGCTAAGAAGGGGTGGAGCCTGAATTCTAAACAGGCAATCTGGCACTAGAATCCATGGTATTAAACATTAACTTTTTTGGAAGAAAGAATCTGTTTGTTTTGAAACAGAGGGTAGGAATTAAAGATAAATAAATATAGAGTAAGGAAGAAGTGTGAAATAACTCACAACTATTGTCCTTTCTCACAGAATAGATGTTCAAGTCATCTATGATGCCTGATGAAATTGGCTAGAGGCCAAGTTGAGGAATTAAAGAGGTATGGATTTGAAATAGTTCCTGTTTCAATGGGGAATGGGTAAAATGACCACCAGGTGGTACAAAGGGGCCACCTGAGGCTGAAAATCATAAATGTGTAATGGTGCCATCAACAGTTATGCATTTTTCTTCAATAGCTTTTGACAGCCCAGGCACAGAGAAAACCAATTTTAGCTTTATGTAGGGTTAATGATAGGATGAGTAAGCATAAAAGAGGGTCAAGGGGTGAAAGAATTAAAGGTAGTGATAAGAGTGTGGTTGAAATGTCCAACAGTACGGTCCTGGCTGGGCAAGACGAAAAGGAGTTTAAAAAAAAAAAGTATCAAAGGACAATAGGATAACAGATTTGGGAAGAAAAATAGGTGTGTTTAGAAAAAATCTATCACAATCTTAATCACTGGTAATTCTGAATAACAATAAATGACATCTGAATACTAATTCTATCTTAATTATATTAAGAAATTATTGCTAAGTCTTTTTAGATGTGTTAATGGTATTGTGGTTATCTTTTAGAGATAGACACTGAAATATTTATGGAAAAAATTATATGATTATCTTGGGTTTGCTTCAAAATAATATAAAAGAAGTACTGAATGGGATTTTCAGCGGGCAAGACTGGGCATGGGTTGTCACTTACTGGGACTGGGTGATGATTACATGGGGTTCTGGCCAAATGTGGCTATCTTAAAAAGCATCTAGAAGAATCCACTTTGAAAACATGAGTCTAATGTTGAAATATTTATTTCCTACATATCATCATTGCTATCCACAGCATTGTATAGGTATGAAACCATAGGGTCAGAATTCTAAATCCAATGTTAAGTGCATACACCAAGAATGCCCTGTTTATAAATCAAGCTCTTCAAAAAGGACGTAACCACTGTAGGTTGCCAAGGAGCTAGCTATAAAATTTCAAGTCTAGCTTAGCAAAAAGTACTCTCTAGTAGCCTGAAAGAATTTATACTGTAAAATATTTTCATTTTCATGCCTTTTGGAGGGTCGGCAATTGCCAAGTGATAGCACCAGCATGTAACTGTAGAAAATGTAGAACTTTGTTACAAAACATGAATTATTTATATATACACACACATATGTGTTTGCAGATGCATATATATATATATATACACACATAATCAGCTAAAATTATTCTCACTTATAAAAATGTACAAGAGTAGGTGCAATGAATTACAAATTATTATATTTAAGTTATTTGCCAGGTAACCCTACTAAATACCAAAAACTTTAAATTTGAGAATTTAAAATCTCAATTATCTATATAACACAGAAGTACACTCATAACAATTTTCTGATATTAGTAGATGTTAAGACTATTCAGTAATCTTTAAGTTCAAATGCAGACTTGAGTAATGGTGTTTTCAATACCTCAAATAAGTATCCTGTAGAACTTTTTCAAGGTCAAAAATGAAGCTTCTCAAAGATATCCTGTTTCCATCGTTTAAGACAATCTTACGTGTATTAGTACTACATCTATGTTTCCATCCTTCTGTTTATATCCCTTCCATGAAAATCTGCCTCAGTCTTCTTGGACCAAAGGTCACAGAATAAAAACAATAGTGCCCTTCCTAATCCCCAGTGATTTCCAAACTATTTATGAGTAGATCTGAATTTACAGTAGTCTGGGAGAAATGCATGATGTCAGAAAGGCTTTTTAAGTTTATCATAAATGAAGTTATCAATAATTACATGAAACATTGTCATCAATTATACATGAAATAGAATAAAAGGTAGTTGTACAAAATAACTGCTTAGAGAAGCAAAAAATAAAAAATAAAAAGTAGGTAGAAGCACTGAGAGCCTTACTGCTGAACTCTGCAGAAGGCGCCTTCAAATAAATATTTCAAACCTTCATATGAATATTTTAAGCATGACAACTACACATAAACACACAGCCAAAGTGCTCAAATCCACTCAAGAAAGACTATTAAGTCATCAACTTGCTCCTGACAGGATCCACTGAATATGGCAACAGTGAGAAGTCAGGAGACAGTTGGAATCATTTCAAGACTGCTAATTTAACTTGTCTTAAAACCAACCAATGCTCAACGTGTCATCATCAATGTCATCTCATCGCAGTCTGAAAAGCCTTCGACCTAAAGCAAAAAGGTCCCCAAGTGCCACCCTTCTTGTCTACTGGTTGAAAATCTAATTGGTTCTGCTGACAGGCTTGGGAATTGGTAGGAAGGCTGTTCAGTTAATCTCCAAGGGCCAGCAAAAAGCTCAGTATCCATCTCTGAGCTTTGCTCCCTGGCTGTCGTAAAATGACTCTGATGGCAGTGCAAGCTCTTATGCTTCAGCTGTCTTCTGACTTCTGTTAAGTCAAATTCAATAAAGTTTGTCACTCAATAATCTGAGAGCTACCCAACAAAACCTCTTTGATCAATAACAGCTTGCCTGCTTGCACTTGGGAAGGTGACCTATTAAAGATTAAAAACACACCTGCTGCTTGAAGCAGAGAACATCATTTTTTACTTTTAAATGAAAATTCATCCATTAAAATCAGTTTAACTACTAGAAGTGTATACAAAGAAACAGGAAGGAGATGAAAAGAATAGCTCAGATATGATGCTTTCTTGATGTCTGAATAAAGTTTGATAGTTGTATGCTTCTGCTATATTTGGCTCTTACATAAGCCATCTATATCCTATTTTTTTCATTTCAGTATCACACACTCATTTATTCGTTGCCTGCGAACAGACAAAGCATTGGTATTGTAATATTAATTCAATCTTCAATCAAAACAAAGTAATCTGTTGTCCAATATCATCTACCTTCCTGCAGAAGTCACGAATGCTCACTCAGAGAAAATGCACTATATTCTTTAAAGCCACACTCTTCATTTAAGTGGTTTTCCTTCCTCACTCACATAAATCAGGCAAGCCTGTGACCAGGTAGAACTCCAGGTAACTTCAAAGTGAGGAAATATGGCTCAGTGAGCCCATCGTGCAGTATAAACTATTGGATAAAATTAGATAAACATCTGTGCTTACATTCCCACATTCAAGCCTCCCATCTTGAAGATTAGAGCTTTTATAGTTTGAATTATTCCAAAATAATTTACAATTGAATCAGTATCATCAAGATGTTGTGACTGTTTTTAAGAAAAAGATTACTGGATAACTCTTTTTTAACTTGTTTCCAATAGCAGAGGACAGCATACATGGGGTCTCTTCCCTTACCTAAGGAGTGTGTGTTTAGGATGCATTTTGTTGGCAATTCAACAATAATAATTTTGAAATGTGTTATCATATTACAAAAGACACTACATAAATACAATGAGATTAAAAACTCCTGCAGAGCCACAGTTATGGGTCAATATTAATAAAAGTTTCTGCTAGAATGTGACTTTGAGTTTCCTGATTATCAGCTGCTCTCACCACATAGCAGATGAATTTCCCTCTAGAGACAAATGTGTCCACCTCTGAATGTATGTATATCAGTCTCTTGTGTGGGTATTTTTCACAAAGTTTAAACATGTTTATTTTGTAAGGCACTAATTTTATCCCATGACATTCACGGCACTATCACGTAGGACACATGTGACAAGGAGATATGGATTACATCTCCAACAGCCCCTAATAATTTCATCATAGTCTCTTTGAACTCTGCAGCTTTTTTTCCTGATCTGAATTAATCACTTCTCCCCTTCATTGGCTATTATCTCCTCAGTTTTGTGCTTTTGGTTTTCTGGTTTCTATTTGAAATGTCTTCATCAAAGCAGCTGCATATAGAAACATGAGCTCATTTCTGCTTTCGTTTTCTCCTGATTTGTGTGATATGTGTAGATCAAGGTTTTTAACTCCTGTATGTAGCAACACATAAAGTTCAGAAAGGCCAACCTAATCTAATTAAGGCTTTCTGACTAAAATAAGGTAATTCCCCATGTCAGTTGAACCCTGGGATGAGGTGACTCAGTTCAGAGGATATCTTAGTTTGTTCAAATATATAGTTATAATGAGGTTGAGCTGAGGACAAGAAACCTTACTGCTTGTGATCAAGAAATGATCACCTTTTCTGGTGAATCAAAAAAATATATTGTTAAAGGTTGTTCTATTAGTATATATATGGCTTGTAATAAAAAGCTTTTAAGTCATCTAAATCAAATGACAATTGTAAAAAAAAATGTGGGTTTTGGAATATTAAAATTAGAGACAACAAAGGAACAAAGTAGTCACTAGAGCTCTTCTTCCATGGGGAACAATTGCTTGGCAGATAAATGCAATTTTTAAAGGTCTAAAAGTTGGTACGTGACTAACTATCTTAGGATGTGTTTGTAAAAATACATTGCAACAGGGAATGACAGGAGCAAACTTGTGTTTTTCAAAGATCACTCAGCTGAATATGGAGATTGGGTTGGAAGAGCACAAGAATGAAAGCAGGGCACCGGCAGGGGGCTGCTGCACAGTTCAAGAGACAGAAGATGGCAGCTAGGACAGAAGGGAGCAGAGTGACAGTCAGATTTCAAGGACAATCCACAGGACTTATGACTGGAGGTCGGGGGAGAAGAGGTGTCCAGGCTGACCTCTGGGTTTTTGAAGTGCACGGTTGGCTGGATGGAGAGTTTCCACCCTGATCTAGGGAAACTAGAGGGAGAGCAAGGGACAGAGAATAGGCTGTAATTCAGTTTTCAGCATTTGCTGAAAACATACTGGATGTTTTGGTGACATGGGATGAATGCCTGCATGTCTGCTGTGCCTCTGCCTGGAGTCTTCCCTAACTGCACAGTTGGCATCTCTCATCTTTCAGAGCCCACTAAAAGGCTACTGCCTTTGAGAGGCCATCTCTCTATGGGTCCCCCTATTATTCTCATTCTGGAGATCCTATTGTTACTTAAATTATAGGGTGTGGTTAAAAAAACACATTACAATACTTTAAAAATATTGACAAGAAATTAATCTGTATGGTATACCAACTCAAATCATGCCCAATGCCCCTCAAATGTAATATTCCCCAAACCACATCCATCATCTCACCTAAATGCCTCCAAAACTGTACCCTCCTCAGTGAACTGCATCATCATCCTGCCAGCTACCCAAGGCAGAAACCTGGGAATTATCTTGCGTCTCCATTCTCCTTTGGTTACCATATCCAAGCAGTCACCAAGTTCTAGTAATTTTTTTCCTTCTAAATCTCTCTCAATCTGTCTACTTTTCTTGATTCCCCTGGCCATAGCCGTAATTCAGTTGCTAATCATCTTTAACCTTGATTATTGCTCTTCCCCGGCCCCAAATGGTTTCTCTGACTTTGGACTTACATCTTTCTAATTCATTCTCTATATACCAGCCAAATGCAAACCCCCTGATGTGAAAGTCATCTGGCATGTTAATGGAATAGCAAGGAAACCAGGCAGGGCATAGTAATTCAACCTGTAATCCCAATGCTTTGGGAGGCTGAGGTCGGGGGATCACTTGAGGCCAGAAGTTTGCCACCAGCCTGGGCAACATAGCAAGACCCTATCTCTAAAATAATTTTTAAAAATTAGCCGGGTGTGGGGTGCACCTGTAGTCCCAACTACTCAGGTGGCAGAGATGGCAGGATTGCTTGAGCCCAGGTGAGCTATGATGTCACCACTGCACTCTAGCCTGGGCAACAGAGCAAGACCCTGTCTCAAAAAAAAAAAAAAAAAAAAAAAAGCAAGGAGACCAAAGAGCTGGTTAGAGTGAATAAGGGTCAGTAGTAGCAGACTGGGTGGTGCACGGGACAGTAGTAGCAGACTGATGATGCAAAAGAAAAAGAAGCAAATTGCTGGTGTGTGTGAAGCATACTGAGACAAGACTCTGGAGGGGACACAGCTTTCTGCTTGGAACATCTTTCACTCTAGAGTCACAGGACTTGCTACCTCTTTGTGGCTTTCAGCATTTTATTCAAATGTCTCCTCAATGAGGCTTTTCTTGACCTCTGTATTTAAAATTGCAACTCATTTCTCTCAACTCCAGCAGATTTCATCCCCTTCCTTGCCTTGTTTTTCTCCAATGCACTTATCACCATCTGTTATACTCTATATTTTATTTATTTATGTTCTGCTTATCTTGCTCATAAGAGTATAGCCTTCATGAAGGCAGAGATTTTGGTCCGTTTTGCTCTCTGGTGTATCTCCAGCATCTTCCATGTGCCTGGAAAACAGGCACATTCAATAAATATGTGCCTTCGACAAATATGAAGAATGCAATGCAACTGTTCCCCAGTCACAGTATCATTACTGTTGGTTTACTTCTCCGTCATTCTCACCAGACAGGAACTGTATTTCAGTCAGTTTTGTGTTCCTTACACTTAACACAGTCCCTGGCACAGGGAAGACACTCAAGTTTCCATAAACCCATCTCTCTCTTCCCCTGTGAAACACTTACTGGTTCATGCTATCCTCTTTGCCCAAAATGCCCTCTCTTCTGTTTTTCACTTTCAATATCTAGTCCAAATACAACCTTTCAAAAGAAACTATGTGTGATCTTTTTTCTAAGAATTATTTTAATTGAAAAGGAGAAATGGGAGAAAGAAAAGCATTATAGGTTTTCTGGAAACAAATTATGTATAGCCCCTTCTACATTTGTATTTATCTATTTTATAGGGCTTTTCATATTCTGCCTTGAGTTATGCTTATGATTTCTGCCTTTAATTAATATTTGTCTTATCACTGTTATGGAATAACAGGTTTTTAAGACTGTTAGACATCATGTAATTGAACCTCTTCATTCCATAGAGACGGACGTGAAAACCAAGGGGATCACATGACTAGTGACAAATTAGAACTCCACGTGCTTCCTCCAATACTCTTTAAGGAGTCAGACTGGCTGATATGGACTTAATCTCCCTATGTCTAAGATTTCTCCTCTGTAAAAGAGAAAATAAACTCCTAAGGATATCATGAGGGTTAATGAGATGATATATGAGAAGTACTTAGAACAATGCTGCTAGTAAGTGCTCAGTAAATGTCAGCCGTTGGTATAATTATTACTACTGATTCATCTGTGAGCTCCTTGAGAGCAGGGGATGTGACTTATTCACCTTTTTATTTCCTGATGAGTTAAACACAGTGCTTTGCATATAGCCAAAGGTAATATTAAATATTAAATATTTTAACAACTGGCACAGCATACAGTCCTGACCAATCAGAATGATGTTGCCCTGGCACTAGATGAGGGTCCTGAAGTCCTGCTGCTGTGCTATTCATTTTCCTTTTATTTTCTGGGTCACAGGGAGATCTGGAGGTTTCTGGAGGAGGATCTAGGACTTCCAGAGCCTGAGAGGTGGGGTATGGCATTCAAGAAAGTGCCATTTCTCTACCAGTAAGGAAATATTTCAGTATTTTAACAACTGGTATCCTTGTTCTGCTGTATACCAGCTGACTGCTGCATATAGTAGACAGGCAAATGCTAATTACATAAATAAAAAACAAACATAAGAGTTAAAATTTTCTGTCAGTGACATTTCCATGTTACCAAAATAATGTCAAATACAGAAATCTTTTACTGCTCCCCAAAAGACTCATTGAAATCTCATGTAAATTTAAGAGAATACCATAGATTCCTATATTCTTCTACCCATTCATCTTTTCCTTTCACCATTACCCATATTGCCAGACAATGTATCTGGAAGAAATGTGTATGCAGACAACAGAAATTGTAGACTGGCAAAGACCTATTCAAGTCTAGAGAAAATCTTGACTTAGGCTTTAAAAGTCAATGACGTTAATGAGTGAGAGAGAAAAAGAGGAAGGAAAGGAGGGGGATTGAAAAGTAAGCTTAACAATAATTAAAATAGTCTTACTAGTTATCAGTTCAATGAGTTTTTATATCACTTTTGAGTCCCTGTTATAATTTAATAAACATGTTACTTAATAAACTCTGCATTTAAACTCCAGAATCAACCTTTCATCTGCATTTGGCCAATGTTGATTTTTTGGTGGGCTGGTCCAAATGCAAGTAAGCCATTTTCTATTCATGGACCTTTTAATGATAGGAACTAATAAAGTATTGTGCTGTATTTCCAAAGTTATATAACTACTAAATAAGTATTTAGTCCTAAGAATAGGGAAATATCCATAACTGTAATATTATTCAGAGTGAGAGGAAATTACTGCTACTGAAATTCCGTAATCACTACTTCCTCAAAGTTAACTCTCCTTTTTGCCTTTTCAAAGTGCTGCATTTAGTCAATAAATACACCATTTCTGACAACTAAAGCTATGGTGATGAGTGTGATGCTATCTTTATTGATTGGCAGGGAGATACTGAAAATTTTCTGGAAACCTTTAACTATTAGTAACACATGTTGACAGCTACTCCCCTTTAAGACAGCAATATATGCTGGTTATTCTATTGCCCGAATGATTATTCCCATAAATTAACTTTCTCTTTTGTTTACTATTATCAGGTTTTGATCATTCTAATGATAACGGCTTCCTGTTAGGTTTAAAACACAATTCCAGTGCATAAAAGTTAAGTAAAAGGCTTTTAAAATTTAAAATTACATATGGTAATTACATTTGACATCACATACATAGTTTATTAGAAAGTTACCCAGATGATATAGTTTGGATGTTTCCCCACTGAAATCTCATGTTGAGATCCACAATACTGGAGGTGGGGCCTGGTGGGAGGTGTTTGAATCATGGGGGCAGATCCCTCACAAATGGCGTGGACCATCTCTTTGGTGATAAGTGAGCTCTTGCTCTGAGTTCACACAAGAGCTGGTCATTTAAAAGTGTGTGGCACCTCCCCCAACCTCATTTGCTCCTGCTTTTGCCATGTGATGTGCCTGCTCCCCTTCACCTTCCACCATGATTGGAAGCTTCCTGAGGCCTCTCTAGAAGCCAAGCAGATGCCGGCACCATGCTTCCTGTAAAGCCTGCACAACCATGAGCCAATTAAACCTCTTTTCTTTATAAATTACCCACTCTTAGGTATTTCTTTATAGAAGTGCAAAAATGGCCTAATACACCATGCTTAAAGGGCTGAAGAAAATATTATTTAAACTCCCTTTTGTGGGTGTTCCAGAACACGAGTTCTTAAATTAAAACTGCTAGGAATAATGTGACTTACTTTGTAATTTCTTCATTTTTTCACTATTAATTGTAGTCAAAATTGTTCTGTATTCTCCTAAAAGTATCTGGGTAGATACTTTTTTTTTTTTTCTTTTGGGGACAAAGTCTTGCTCTTGTCCCCCAGTCTGGAGTGCAATGGCACGATCTCGGCTCACTGCCACCTCTGCCTCCCAGGTTCAAGTGATTCTCCTGCCTCACCCTCCCGAGTAGCTGGGATTACAGGTGTGTACCACCACACCCAGCTAATTTTTTGTATTTTAAGTAGAGATGGGGTTTCACCATGTTGGCCAGGTTGGTCTCCAACTCCTGACCTCGGGTGATCCACCCACCTCAGCCTCCCAAAGTGCTGGGATTACAGGCATGAGCCACCATGCCCAGCCCTGAGTAGATACTCTTTAAATGGACTCAGCCTAACCATAGAATATGCCTTCAGGAACATATTGGGAATAAGAAAACCCAATCTCAGATACTATCTTGAGACTATTATCCTCCCTGGACCACTCCTGCTTTTGCTCTGATAAGCCCTTCTCTATCTACTTCTCTTTATTCTGCCCACTAACACTGTTTCTTGGGCCCAATTTGTTAAATGTCTATAGCTTTAAGCCCTTCCATTCTCATGACTTGAGGGAGATTAGAAAGTTTGATTCTGTTTTATTCTTATATGTCAAAATTCTCAAAAATTGAGTCTATGGATCCGTTTTAAAGGGTCCATGAATCCCTGAAATATGTACAATATTCTGTATGTAAATATAAGTATTTTTCAGGAGAAGAGTTCTATATGTTTCATCAATTCTCTACAGACTCAACACAAAAAGTTTAAGAACTCTTATATATTTTTAACTTCATTTAAACAATGACACAATTGGGGCTTACTGCTGATACTTATTTTTACTTTGAGATATTTCATTTATTTTTGGCAAATATGTTGCAAATGTAGCTTGTCAGTTTAGTTGAAAGGGTTACATTATTTTGGTCATACTGACAGTTTTTGTCCATCGAAACTTTAGATTTTGATAATATTCTAGTATGAATCACAAATATGGAGGAAACTTAGAGGTTTTGGAGAGGGTCATCCATTCCACTTCACATGATAAAAGTGCCACCTCCCAAATAGGAGACACCCCAGACTTCTTCAGAAATCCTATTTGGTCCTTATTCTTCCCTTTATTCTGCTTCCTTAAGACTTTATCATCCCAAATTCTAATGCTTAATCTAATAGTATCTTTCATTTTTATTTAACTCTTTTAACCCTATATGCCTTTCTCTTCAACTATTAATAGACTATAAGCTCTCATGGAACCAAGAGACACTTTACACTTTTATTTCCTTTTTTCCTCAGAGACTTACACAATGCAGTTAAATAGATGCTCAATAAATCTCTTCTCAATGAACACATTTCTATATTCAGAAATGTAGCCTCTTCACTAATAATCAAGGTATATAATATAAACCTCCTTCCTTAGTGGGGAAAAAGAGGTCATTATGTTCTGTGACCTTTTTATTTTCTTGACAGTCAATGCCTTAGGCTAAGATGCCTTTGAAAGTCAACTAGGTATATTACAACTTTATACAGCAACTTTGTCATGAAAGTCTTACAGAGACTCTTGACAATGGTTTTCAACTGTTTTTCCACCCCAGCACATCTGAAAGATGTTTTGTAATTCCATCAGTAGCAGTGGGTCACTGCAACAGTAATCATCAATTCAGCAGGAGGCGTTAAGAGCCCTATGAGTGATTCCAATCCACCCTTCTGGAAATGAGCCATTTCTCCTCCATCCCTCCATAGCAAGCAGAAAAACACTAAATTAGAACAGTTATGAAGAGGAGAGAATGAGTTCATCAGAACAAAGTTTGTAATTTCAGAAATCAAATCCTATAAAATTGCAATGGTCAAGAAGCACTTAGTAATGAAGAATTTATGGCCACATTAGGAGTCACTTTTGAAGACTTTTACCCACAGGGATTAAAATGGCCTTTATATTCCTTGTAGCAGTCTATGCCACTCACATGTGGCATAACTTAATAAACTAAATTTTTTATTGATTAAGCTCCTATTTTTTCTGTTAAAAAGTGTTTTATTTAAAAATTGACAGACAATTGTGTATATACACCTATGGAATAGTTAGCTAATTAACAAACGGATTACCTCACATGGTTATCATTTTTGTGATAACAGCACTTAACATCCACTCTGCATTTTTCAAAAATACAATATATCACCATTAACTATGGTAACCACACTGTACAGTATGTCTCTTGAACTTATTCCTCCTATTTAACTGTAATTATGTGTTCTTTGACCAACATCTTCCCATTCTCCCTCCACATTAACCACCCCAGTCTCTGGCAATCGCCATTCTACCCTCTACTTCGGTGAGATCAACTTTCTTAGGACACGAGCTACAGTATATGTCTTTCAATTAATCTCTCTTTGAGGTCTAGGAACAAGTGGAAAAGCAATCTTTTCATGTGCAATCTTCTTTTAAAATACTGCAAAAGTGATTGACTGGTATGGCAAGAAAAAGGTAGATTTTGGATTGGACTTGAATAGAGATTTAAATTACTTGAATAGAAAAATGAAGACATGTTGAGATTTACATTCAAAGTAAAAACTGGAAAATAATCTTAAAATACTGAAACTAACAGCTTAGAGGCACCTATTAGCAATACCCACAAGGGAATATAATCAGCAAAATCCAGAATATGGGAATTTTACAGGACAAATGACCCTGTTTTCTTCAAAAATGACTGGTAAGAAAATAAAAGAGGGAGGAGGAGGAAACCTAAGTTTAAGGATTCAGGAGAAATATCAGCCAAATACAGTGGATTCTGATTGGATCCAGATTCAAACAAATTGTCAAAAAGAGAAAGAGAGAGAGATAATCAAGAGGGAGGAAAACTTAACTCTTTGAATATTTGATGGTATGAAGAAAATATATTTTATAATACATTATATAGTTTCAAATAGCTAGAAAGGGATACTGAATGTTCCCAACACAAGAAAACGATAAATGTTTGAGATGATGGATACGATAATACCTGATCTGATTACTATACATTACATGTATTGAAATGTCAATAGGTGCCCCATAAATAAGTACAATTATTATTTGTCAATTTTAAAAAAATAAAACTTAAAAGTACAAAAAAGGAAAATAGGCTGGGTGCGGTGGCTCATGCCTGTAATCCCAGCACTTTGGGAGGCCGAGGTGGGCTGATCACGAGGTCAGGAGATCGAGACCATCTTGGCTAACACGGTGAAACCCCGTCTCTACTAAAAATACAAAAAATTAGCCAGGCGCGGTGGTGGGTGCCTGTAGTCCCAGCTACTTGGGAGGCTGAGGCAGGAGAATGGCGTGAACCCGGGAGGCGGAGCTTGCAGTGAGCCGAGATGCTGCCACTGCACTCCAGCCTGGGCGACGGAGCAAGACTCCGTCTCAAAAAAAAAAAAAAAAAAAAGGAAAATATATTTTAAATATCTATTGGTATACAGTTTACATATGAAAGTATTTAAGGATAAAATTATACCTGGTATGTGATTTTACATAATCTAGTGGTGGGAGAAGGGTGGTGAATGGAGATATAAGTGGAATAAGATCAGTCATGCTAATGGGTATATTGGGTAATGGGTATATTGCTCTCACTATACTATTTTCTTTACTTTTTTGAATCGTTTACATTTCATAATAAAAAGTTTTTTAAAAATAAAGTAATGAGCATATATAACACTATAACTTGGAAAAAAGTAGAGGACAAAAAATCAGAATATATTCAAATTATAATTACATATGCAGAAATACAGACTTCATTTAAAAAGCCAATGAAGCACCTAATTGCATCAATTACACATTTCTGCACTTAAATCACTGTAACCAAGTGTTTACCTATTTTGGTTTTCATTATGGTACATAAAACACCATATTTCACTAAAAAACATATCAATAATTCATAGTATTTCCTAGTCTTTCAATATAGTATAGGTAGAATTGAAAATAAATAGAAAATATCTTTTTTTGAGTAAATCACTGGTGCTTTTATGTTCACTACTAGAAACCATAGTATATGCAAATGCGACACATGCAAGAGCAATTTAGTGTTCAGTTAAATAATAAACACTGGTACTGATAATTTAAAAAATACTTTTTAGACATTCATATACCAACCTTCCTTCCCCAAATTAGCTTCCTAAAGAGAAAAACAGAGATTTCTCTACCATTTCCACTGTGATAAACATTTTAATGTTATTGGAGATGATAGAAAACATGAGGAAAATGTTCTTAAGAGTTAGAATGATCTCATCAGCATTACTGGGGCATTCTGAATGTAATCAAAGAGGTAAATGGGAATAAAAAATATTCTTTGACAGATGAGCCTGCCCTGTCATGGGAATTTGCAGCCTGTCTGCACAGAATGCATTTCCTATTGTAGCAAAATGTTCCTTCTGATCATAAAGGAACTGCTACCAAAATAACTTCTTGAAACCATAGAATAGTGCAGTTAGAGGTGTTATGTGACAAATCACAATGTTGATTATGAGCTACTAATACTGACAAAACAATTCAGACTCTACCTAAGCAGCCTGAGCTTCAATGAAAGGTTCAAGACGGTCATGAAAATGGAAGGGCGGGTAGGGAATCACTGCATAGAACCAGCTGCAGTAAACTTTTAATGATAAACTATAGATAAACTGAACTCTCACAGTAATCTTGGTGGGGGGGGGGTCACATTAAGAAATTTCTAAGTCATTTATTCTACTTTTATAAAATAACTCAAATTCTATAGCAGGCACTTTGTTTATATTCTGAAAGGGTAGAACATTGAATTGGATGACTTTTTAAGTTTGGGGATTCACCTTTGCTAAGGTAAGAACATGATAAAAACAAACAACAAAAAATATCTATTATCACTACCATTTCAAAAATGATATTTAAATAATAAAAAGCTGGATATATTTAGTTTTCTAATAAGCTCACCATATCATCTTCTTTTTCCTCATTTCACTACTGATAGGCTAAAATGCTGTCACAGACTCCTTGTCATAGGCTAGTACCAGTCTGTGGATCTGGTGTTTGAATGCCATCACTCCAGCCTCTTCCAACATTGAGTGGGAATCATAAGGTCTAAAAGACCTTTGACTCTCTAAATGTTAGATTGACTAGGTTATTTAAATGGAAAAAGATATTTGTCATTTTGAGAGGTAATCGTTTCAGCCAATCCATTTCTCTGAATGATCATATATTATCACTTAATTTCCTCATGAGCTGTTTTCTTTTCCAAACAAAATAGGTATTTCAGATACATAGTTTATGACAGCAATGGGGATCACTTTTGGCTAATACTTTAGTGGCTATTTTAGAAGTCCAGATTGGGGAAAGTAGTAGACAGCTGATTTTGTAAAAGAAACATGCTTGAAAACATAGCCACAAACACTCACAAAACACAAAAACATTTAACTGACGTTCCTGGAGTAGTTCATTTTGAACAATACTCAGGAATTATTAGGTGCAGGCTCAAATTATTCAAATGGTTCATGAACTATATAGAATTCTTACTTTCTTTAGTATTTTTCTGATTGAAAGGAAATTTTGCCTATAGATTATTATAATTCTATCAATAGAATTTGGAGCTTTTAAAATATTTTAAAGAAGCTCTATGTATGAGTGGTTTTTTTCCTTCTATGCCAACATAATAATTTCTTAGGAATCTCTACATGCAAGACTCTAATCTGTATTCCCTCAGCACTCACTCTCAAAGGAATTAGGACAAGCAAGATATGTGATCATCAACAAAGAAACTGAAATCTAAGGAGTTCGCAATCACTGCCCATGAGACTTTGACAAGTCATTTTCTTGTTCTGTGTCTTAGTTTCCTTGAGGTATTGAAATAAATGACCTCCAAGGCTCTTTCAGTTCTTTTTGATTCTTAAAAATAAAAAATGTTGTCCCCAAACACTTAGGAAACTACACTTTTTCAATGATATACAAACTCTGAGTTATTCTCATTACTTTATGTATGTGTGATGATATACCTGTGTGTATATGAACGTGTATATGGGTAGACATATTATGCAGTGTGATTCCATCTGCCAAAATCACCAATTTTGATTGTAGATAACTTGTTTACAAAACAAAACTCACCCTCAAGAAAGACATGCCACCACCAAGTATGTTCAAAAAAATGTGCTACAGTTTGTAAAGGCCATAACAAAAACATACTTTGAGCAACAGCAGCACAGTTGAGCTAAGATAAAAAATGTGAAGAGGGCAACACTCATCTGTATGGATAAGTGCCACTATATAATAATAATTTCTCAACCTTGATTTCCCCTTAAGTGAAATTCACTTTTATTTACGGCTTCTTCATCCTCAAGAGTTTTTGTCTCCCTATTACACAAATAATTAAGAAAAAGAGCAGGGAAATAAAGGAGAAGAGAACAGAATTATTACCATGAATTTTTGGAAGACAGACAGAAGGTGAGAAAAAGTATATGAGGGCCTTGTAATTGCATGTCCTCAACTTTTTATCTCAGTTCATCAGGGACTGATGGCACTCCATTTGGAACTAAGGGAAAATAACACGTTGAAATAGGCAGAAAGAAATACTTGTTCAGGTTGGTTAACGAAAGTGAGCCACAAACAGCCTATTTGTTCAGTTTTCTTTGACTCTGAGACCATAGTGGGAATCAGATAATGGAAGTCAACAACTCTGTGTCATAAAATTTCCTGGAGGACTGACAATTACATTCAGGAAAAAAGCAAAAACCTTTAGTATAAGCACCCTCAGCAACAAGGCAACCTGAACTTCTAAGCATAGAGTGGAAATCAAGGAAGATGGAGATCCTGAAAGTTTACAGTGAAAAAATAGTAAATGTATATTAATGGTTCAGAATCTCATTGTAACTATTTTACTATGTGTATTTAGGGTGCCCAAATTGATATTTTACTTTAAAAATGTTAAAAAAAAAAAAAAAACCAGATTGGCTTTCATAGGTTTGCTTATACCCACAACCCTCCCTTAACTATTTCCTCCAATATGTTGAAAATCTTCCGACTCTGAATTACCCTACTACATGGGGTTTTCAGATAAGGGTTTCTGAATTTGTTTGAGAAAATTGGTTGTTTCCCTTCTAGTCACACCTTGTATGATAAAGGATGGTCAGAAATTAAAATATGGTAGTGAAACAAGCACTTTGGCAATCTTAGTTATGAACTCAGTAGGGAAATATTTAGCAGATAGTCTTGTGTTTATAGTAAACAAACAAGAAAAGTAATTTCTAGCCATACATACAAAATAAAACAGATTTTAAGAAAATGATTACTAAATCTGTATTCCTTTCCTTGATCTAATTCTAAATTGTACCTCTAATTCAAGGGCCATATCAAGGCCCACCTCTTTAACAAAACCCCTCATCTAGAGGACTTTAACTCAGAGCTTCTCTTAAATTCAGTGATAAACACTAAACAATTATTTACTGAATACTTATTAGATGTCAAGTAATTAACATAGCCTGTCCTGTGAGAAGAGGAGAAAGAGGTAAGCAATTTGACAACTGTACCAGGTCTTATAATTCAGTTTGACCATCTTATTAGTGTTGGTGTTATCTACACAACTAGATTATAAATTCCTGAAGAACAGTCAATATCTTGTATTTCTTTCTCTTGTATCCTTCTCAATACCTAGCCAAGAGATACTCAATATATTCATTAAAATGAATCCAGCCAGCATCTCAAAAAATTACTGACTTTGAATTGAAAGAATGCAAATAGAATCTGGGGCAGGGGAATACATTTTAAATAATTAAAGAGGGCAATTTGACTATGTGTATGTATACCTTTTTATTAAGTAACTCCAATTCCAGGAATTTATCAAGTGAGACCATCTTTCTCCATCCAGCCTTGGTGGAATGGCCAGATGACTATTATTGCATGAAAAACTCTAGTGAAGTAAGCAGAAAAATCACTCAGCTGACCTTAGCCTATGTTGCTGACCCACAGAATCAAAAGCAAATAAAGTATTTGTTTGTTTTCAGCCACTAAATTTTGGGGTATTTTGTTGTGTGGCAATATATAGCTGATCCAGTTATATTAATAAATATGTATAATTAATAAATGTAAAAGAATCCTTTAAAATATAGGTTGGGGGTCCAGTTGGTGGCTCATGCCTGTAATCTCAGCACTTTGGGAGGCCAAGGTGGGTGGATCACTTGAGGCCAGGAGTTCAAGACCAGCCTGGCCAACATGGTGAAACCCTGTCTCTACTAAAAAAATACAAAATATTAGCCAGGTGTGGTGGCACATGTCGTAATCCCAGCTACTCAGGAGGCTGAGGCACGAGAATTGCTTGAAGCCAGGAGGCAGAGGCTGCAGTGAGCCAAGATCATGCTGCTGCACTCCAGCCTGGGTGACAAAGCAAGTCTCTGTCTCAAAAAACAAAGATATATATAAACACATATATATATGTGTGTGTATCTATATATGTGTGTGTGTGTGTATATATAGGTTGGGTACATAAGCACATACTGAACTCTGGTTAATGATGCTTAAATACTTGGGTGAGAGGAATATACTAATGACTACCACTTACTTGGCAATACACAAAAAATAATGGAGAGATAGCTAGTTTGACTGGTATGTGATAAAACAGGTGATACGATTTGTCTCTGTGTCCCCACCCAAATCTCATGTCGAATTGTAATCCCCAGGTGTCAGGGGAGGGACCTGGTGGGAGGTCACTGGATCGTGGATGCGAATTTTCCTCATGCTATTCTCATGTTTGTGAGGGAGTTCTCATGAGATCTGATAGTTTAAAGTGTGGCACTTCCTCCCTTGTTCTCTCTCTCTCCAGCTCTGCCGTAGTAAGACGTGCTTGCTTCCCCTTCACTTTCCGCCATGATTGTAAGTTTCCTGAAGCCTCCCAGTCATACTTCCTGTTAAGCTTGTGGAACTGTGAGTCAATTAAATCTCTTTTC
Organism: Homo sapiens; assembly: GCF_000001405.40. NCBI lineage: Eukaryota > Metazoa > Chordata > Mammalia > Primates > Hominidae > Homo > Homo sapiens. The sequence goes on along the minus strand of NC_000002.12, from coordinate 44,602,561 downwards.
TTCATAAATTACCCAGTCTCAGGTAGTTCTTTAGAGCAGTGTGAGAACAGACTAATAGCAAGTATAATAAGATGTTAGTTGTAAAATCTAAATGGTGGATATATGTGTGTTTACTATAAAATTATTTTAACATTTTTGTTGTTCTCTTAATAAAAATGTTGGAAAACAGGTTGAGTAAATTATGGTGCATTCACACTATAGAATACTAGGTAGTCATTAAAAATAATAGGTGGAGGAATGTTTATTATCAAAATTGGCTAATAAATTTTCTAAAAGCAGGGCCAGGCATGGTGGCTCATGCTTCTAATACCAGCACTTTGGGAGCTAGAGCTCAGGAGTTCGAGACTGGGCAACATGGTGAAACCCCATCTCTACAAAAAACACAAAAATCAGCCAGGTGTGGGGGTGTGCACCTGTAGTCCCAGCTACTAGAGAGGCTGAGGTGGGAGGATCGCTTGAGCCTGAAAGGTGGAGGTTGCAGTGAACTGAGATGGCACCACTACACTCCAGCCTGGGTGACAGAGTGAGACCCTGTCTCAAATAAATAAATAAATAAATATATTTTTAAAAAGCAGACTACAATATAGCATATGCAATATGGTATCATTTTTGTAAAACACAACTTAAAAAGTACAGATATAGAGAAAAAACAATCAAAGGACATATGTTAAGCTATTACCTCTAGACATGGAATCATGATTACTTTTCCTTTTAGCTTTGTGTTTTCCAAACTGTCCTTCTTAGTAGGAAAAATTAAAAAGTAATTAAGAGAATTGAGAGGAAATGTTTAATATTAAGTTTAAATCTTCTGGTTTTAAAAATAACTTAAAAAAACAAAGGTATTCAATGTCTTAGAGCAAGAAAAAAATAAAATAATGAATGGAATTTAGAGAATAGTAAGAAAGAGTTTATTTACCTATATGGAATTATTTGATAACAAAAGTCACTACATGTGAGAACAGAGGCTATAGCTTTCCTCTTACCAGAAACATAGTATCTCCAAGAAAATAAATTATACTAGCGACCTCTTTAGGTTTCTTCCAATTTTATGATTTTTTAAAATTTTGTTATTTATTATTTATTTATTAATTATCATTATTTTTTTGAGACAGAGTTTCACTCTTGTTGCCCAGGCTGGAGTGCAATGGCGCAATCTTGGCTCACCGCAACCTCCGCCTCCAGGGTTCAAGCAATTCTCCTGCCTCAGCCTCCCGAGTAGCTGGAATTAGAGGCATGTACCACCATGCCTGGCTAATTTTGTATTTTTAGTAGAGATGGGGTTTCTCCATGTTGGTCAGGCTGGTCTCAAACTCCTCACCTCAGGTGATCTGCCCATCTTGGCCTCCCAAAGTGCTGGGATTACAGGCGTGAGCCACCATATGACTTTTTCTAAAAGAGTAATGGCATACCTTTATATATATTAAGTAAAACATCTGGCTATATTTTGGTACTTTTTAACTGATATTGGTTATATTATATGTATCAACTAAAAAGTATCAAAATATAGCTAGATGTTATACTTAATTTGGAGATGAATATTATTCCCTCCCTAAATTTAGGATATGACAGAAACCTGGTAATTAGAAGAAGAAAAGACAATATCAAAGAAGCCTCATTGTCTTGACACACTCTAATGTACAGTTATCAAAATTGTTAGCCACATCTTACATAAATTCCCGAGTCTACTCAACATTGTACTATAATTGTAGTAGTTTTAATCTCCATCTGATAGAAAAGAAAGGGAAAACATTTTCTAAAAGTCACCATAAAACTCTCTAAAGAAATTTTAAACATTAATTTTGATACCAAAAAACTATAGGAATAACAAACCAATTTCATCTAACAACCTAGGAACAGTTTGTGTGCACAGACACATATGCGTGTGTGTCTGTATCTGTATATGTTAACTGAACAACCTTGCCCAAGTTGAGGTACCTAAATATGAAAGTGCAAAACATTTACAGAGAAAAGGTTTCTGTCAAAAACTTGATCTTGGCCAGGCACCATGGCTTACATCTGTAATCCCAGTGCTTGGGAGGCTGAGGTCGAAGGATGGCTTGAGCCCAGGAGTTTGAAACCAGCCTTAGCAACATGGCAAAACCCTGTCTCTCTACCAAAAATACAAAAATTAGCTGGGTGTGCTGGTGTGCACCTGTAGTCCCAGCTACTCGGAAGGCTGAGGTGGGAGGATCACCTGAGCCCAGGAGTTTGAGGGTGTAGTGAGCTATGATGGTGCCACTGGACTCCAGACTGGGCAACAGAGCGACACTCTGTCACAAAAATCAAAAATAAAAAAAAAAATCTTGGTCTCATGATAGTGGTGGTATGTAATGGAATGGTGAAGCTGAGGAGAATCTCTTTTATCATCTGTTATTATGAGCAGAGTTTTAAACTCTGAATCTGAAAAAAAGATCAATATCTTTTCCCATTTCAATTCAATGATAAATGTAAATTTCAGAATACAGAAATAACTAACAGCCTTTCTAAGAAAATTATTCAACCAACATGGGTTTTTATGAAGTAAAGATAGGTTAGAATGAGAACATTGGAAAGTTTCCACAACTTTTATTCATAAACTGCAAAATAAAGTACTTTAAAATCATTAGTTATTCAAAGTCCATAGAGTACCAAATCGTTTTGAAGAAAAATTCATAAAAATTCCCACATTGGAATGAATTGCTTCCTAGTTTCTTAAAGCAAACAACAAGAGAAACATACACTTTTTTTTTTTTTTTAAACCTTGCCAAGGTGTCAACTCCACTGTTAACATAAAATCCTCTCAGAAATAGCCCAATCCAGGCTTGGTTATTAGACTAAACATGTTAGAACCCAGATTAGAAAATAATAGCTAAAAATGTTTGTGGAATCTAAGCCCTAAGTTCCCATTTCTGAGACTCTTAATGATTATGTTTGAGGTTCTTTTTTTAAAAAGCTGTGGTTTCTTTTATTTAAGAAAAATTTACATAGATTGATCTTTAAATTTAAAAAAATGCTTCTGACAAATTACTTTTCATTCTCACAGAAGATAATGGCCCTATCAAACAAAATAATAACAGGGCATGTATTAAATGGGCTCTAAAGGAAAACGATATTGATGTATCTACATTTTTTCCAGCTCATTCATTGAAAGGATTAGCTGTAACCAGTGCAGTAGCTATAAAATGTTGACAGAGGTTGGTTCCTAAGAACTGCCAGATGGTCAGAAGAAAATATTGTACAATAGTGTTACTGGAGCCCTTCAGGCAAAGACAGATATAATCTAGTTTTGAAAGCTGCCAGGTATTATGAAGTGTCACTTTCTATTTATAAATAAACTATGAGTTATGGTCACAGTATTTGAGAAATGGAAAACAGAAATTTCTAACAAAGTTCTAAGGCTTCTCATACCTAGGCAATTCACATTAGGTTTAAATGTTTTTCCCATTCCATCTTACATGTTAAAGCTAATTGTTTAATAAATAATGATCAGGAACTTACATGTGTCAACATCCACAGAAAATATAGGATTTTACTCTCTACCTTGCTAAAAGATTTATAATTGGTCAAAGTTTTAAAGACATACGAAATAGGTGAGCCCTGCACAGACAAAAATGCTATGCTTTTCTTAGGTAATTACAGCTTTTTACCGACACGTGTGATTACTCAATCTAATCATGCAATTCCAGTTAGCAACTTGTAAATATGAGGTTTGGTATATGTACTGAACACCTGTGATGGTATATAGCCTTTTTGAACTTCACATTGTGAAACCATGACTTTATTTATTCCTTCTTTTCATTTTCTTATATCGCCTCACAACCACCTCCCCACCCAGAGCCTTTAACAAGTAAGTTGCTAAGACAAGACCCAAAGGACTTCTGATTTTAAAGGTCCTAAGCTTGCTGCAAATTAGGTTCTTCTGAGCTAAGATTTCATTATAGTATATAAGTTTCTCCTTTAATCATTGTATTTCTACTTTGTGCTAACATTCTAAGTAGGTTTCATAGACTAAAAGTGCTGTATGATTAAGTCATACTTGTCAGGCTGTTCATTAGTGACTCATTGAAGAGGACAATGCTAATTCCAGCAGGAAGTAATGGAAAGTAAAAAAAATGCACAGTGTATATATCTTAATGTTGAATAAAGCCTTTCAACCAATTCCACGAGAAAACTGGAACTTCATTTCTTTTCTCCCATATTCCTTCATAATCTATTTTTGCATAACTTGGTTTTTGTGACTAAAATCTAAATTTTCATTAAAAATTAACAGAAGGAAGGCAGAGGTTCTTAGGATTCATAGAAAGAATTCAGGGGGTCCATGAACTTGCAAGGAAAAAATATTCTTATTTTTACTAAACTAACCAAATTTAGCATTTCCTTATATTACAAGTGTAGGCTATGAACAGTAATATTTTCATCTAACATTATAATTTTTGTCATTGTTTGTTTGGAAATGATATTTAGTAGCTCATTCTTAATGAAAAATTATAATCATTATTAGAGCTACAACTAGATCTTATTATTTTATGGCATTAATAAGGAAGCATAGGCTGGGTGCGGTGGCTCACACCTGTAATCCCAGCAATTTGGGAGGCCGAGGCAGGTGGATCAAAAGGTCAGGAGTTCGAGACCAGCCTGACCAACATGGTGAAACCCCGTCTCTACTAAAAACACAAAAATTAGCCCAGGGTGGTGGTGCATGCCTGTAATCCCAGCTACTCAGGAGGCTGAGGCAGGAGAATCGCTTGAACCAGGGAGGTGAAGGTTGCAGTGAGCTGAGATCGCACCACTGCACTCCAGCCCAGGTGAAGAGCAAGACTCCATCTCAAAACAGACAAACAAACAAACAAACAAAAAATAATAAGGAAGCATATATGTTACTATACCACAATTGTATTTTAAACATATTTTGATAACTGTATTTCAATGTAATTGCTTTTTGGATTTTATTTAACACACTTGTAACATTATTTTGAGAAGGGATCCATAAGCAGAATCACAAGATACCAAAGGGGCTCATGACACAGCAAGGGTTAAGAACCTCTGAGCTAAAGGGATTATAATATGCATACTTACACACCATCTACCACATTTTCACTGGAATGTAAATTAGGATTGACAAAGAGTTCAGAATGTGACATGCTCCCTGTGTAAGTTGGTATATCACTGGCTGATGTTATTATTAATTGTGGATTCACTGGAAATAATTATGGACAGATTTCTTAAATGATTCTATATTTAGTAAACCAAAATGGAAGTATGGAGGTAGCTAAGGGAAATTCATTATTCACAAATTAATCCATCTGCCAAGGACGGAACTTAGTTATATAGAGAGTTAACTAGTCTATGTGGAAGTTGGACCTGTATAAAAGCAGTCATATCACAGTTTATCAAATCTTTTGTGGCTACATCAACCCAACAACCATCATGCACTTAGGGGATTGCCACTACTGACACCCCCAGACAGAAAGCTGTCCCCAAGAAGACAACATGACGAACTTGAAACTACACTGCATAATCAACTTCTAGGGTGACTTTATCAAAGCAAATTTTGCAATTATTGAAAAGGATTTTAATCATTCCAAAATTTAACAGCTAAGATCTAATTAGTAACATGGAATAACTCATTTTCCTTATAAAAAGATCGTTTTTCTCTAAGTTTTGATTTCATGAAGGTTGAAGCAAATGTTCAATTTTCTGTTGGCAATGAAAATAGAAAGGAATCTATTATATATGCATAATTTTAATGACTGAGTAAACCTTAGAATTTTTATAACCAGTAGTCTCCTGACAGAGTTTTTTGCCTGGGATTTTCTCGGGGTGAGATTTCCACGGTTCACTGGTGTAGGTCTGTGATGATGCAAGCACAATTCAAAGTTGAAACTGAGAAACTGATCATGACCTCATTGTCTCTTGAGAGATGCCACTGCCTTGGCTGCTTGATGAATTGGACTGGACTTTAAGAGATTACATTTGATCAAATCAGTGGTTCTAAAATGTGTGTACTACAGAATCAGATGGGGGGCTTGTTAGAGATTTCTGGATTCATCCACAGACTGGGTTTCAGTAGGTCTGTGATGGATGTAAGAATTTGTCTTTTTCTTTCTTTTCTTTTTTTTCTTTTTTCTTTTTTTGAGACAGAGTCTCGCTCTGTTACCCAGCCTGGAGTGCAGTGGCACATGTTTAGTTCATTGCAACCTCCGCCTCCAGGGTTTAAGCAATTCTCCCATCTCAGCCTCCCAAGTAGCTGGGACTACAGGCACATACCACCACGCCAGCTAATTTTTGTATTTTTTGGTAGAGACAGGGTTTCACCATGTTGGCCAGGCTGGTCTCGAACTCCTGACCTGAAGTGATCCACCTACCTCGTCCTCCCAAAGTGCTTGGATTACAGGTGTGAGCCACTGTGTCCAGCCAAGAATTCGTCTTTTTCTTTCTTTTTTTTTTTTTAAATTATAAGTTCTGGGGTACATGTGCAGAACATGCAGGTTTGTTACATAGGTATATACGTGCCATGGTGGTTTGCTGCACCCATCAACCCATCATCTACATTAGGTATTTCTCCTAATGCTACTCCTCCCCCAGTCCCCCACCTCCCATCAGGCCCCAGTGTGTGATGCCCCCCCAGCCCCATGTTCATGTGTTCTCATTGTTCAGCTCCCACTTACGAGTGAGAACATGCAGTGTTTGGTTTTCTCTTCTTGTGTTAGTTTGCTGAGAATGATGGTTTCCAGCTTCATCCATGTCCCTGCAAAGGACATGAATTCATCCTTTTTTACAGCTGCATACTATTCCATGGTGTATATGTGCCACATTTCATTTATCCAGTCTATGATTCATGGGCATTTAGGTTGGTTCCAAGTCTTTGCTATTGTGAACAGTGCCGCAATAAACATACATGTGCATGTGTCTTTATAGTAGTTTTTTAAACTTTAAAGTAGCTTTTTCCAATTCTGTGAAGAAAGTCAATGGTAGCTTCATGGGGATAGCACTGAATCTATAAATTACTTTGGGCAGTATGGTCATTTTCACAATATTGATTCTTCCTATCCATGAGCATGCAATGTTTTTCCATTTGTTTGTGTCCTCTTTTATTTCCTTGAGCAGTGGTTTGTAGCTCTCCTTGAAGAGGTCCTTATAAGTTGTATTCCTAGGTATTTTATTCTCTTTGTAGCAATTGCCAGGCATGGTGGCTCACGCCTGTAATCCCAGCACTTTGGACGCTGAGGCGGGCAGATCACCTGCGGTCGGGAGTTCATTTATAATCCTTTGGGTATATACCCAGTAACGGGATTGCTGGGTCAAATGGTATTTCTAGTACCAGATCCTTGGTGAATTGCCACACTGTCTTCCACAATGGTTGAACTAATTTACCCTCCCACCAACAGTGTAAAAGTGTTCCTATTTCTCCACATCCTCTCCAGCATCTGTTGTTTCCTGACTTTTTAATGATCACCATTCTAACTGGCATGAGATGGTATCTCATTGCGGTTTTGATTTGCATTTCTCTAATGAACAGTGATGATGAGCTTTTTTCATGTTTGCTGGCTGCATAAACGTCTTCTTTTGACAGGCGTCCGTTCATATCCTTCACCCACTTTTTGATGGGGTTGTTTTTTTCTTGTAAATTTAAGTTCTTTGTAGATTCTGGATATCACCCCTTTGTCAGATGGATAGATTGCAAAAGTTTTCTCCCATTTTGTAGGTTGCCTGTTCACTCTGATGATAGTTTCTTTTGCTGTGCAGAAGCTCTTTCATTTAATTAGATCCCACTTGTCAATTTTGGATTTTGTTGCCATTGCTTTTGGTGTTTTAGTCATAAAGTCTTTGCCCATGCCTATGTCCTGAATGGCATTGCCTAGGTTTTCTTCTAGGGTTTTTATGGTTTTAGGTCTTACATTTAAGTCTTTAATCCATCTTGAGTTAATTTTTGTCTAAGGTGTAAGGAAGGGATCCAGTTTCAGCTTCCTGCATATGGCTAGCCAGTTTTCCCAGCACCATTTATTAAATAGGGAATCCTTTCCCCATTGCTTGTTTCTGTCAGGTTTGTCAAAGATCAGATGGTTTTAGATGTGTGGTGTTATTTCTGAGGCCTCTGTTTTGTTCCATTGGTCTATATATCTGTTTTGGTACCAGTACCATGCTGTTTTGGTTACTGCAGCCTTGTAGCGTAGTTTGAAGTCAGGTAGCGTGATGCTTCCAGCTTTGTTCTTTTTGCTTAGGATTGTCTTGGCTATACGGGCTCTTTTTTGGTTCCATATGAAATTTAAAGTAGTTTTTTCCAATTCTGTGAAGAAAGTCAATGGTAGCTTGATGGGGATAGCATTGAATTTATAAATTACTTCGGGCAGTATGGCCATTTTCACAATATTGACTCTTCCTATCCATGAGCATGGAATGTTTTTCCATTTGTTTGTGTCCTCTCATTTCCTTGAGCAGTGATTTGTAGTTCTCCTTGCAGAGGTCCTTCACAACCCTTGTAAGTTGTATTCCTAGGTATTTTATTCTCTTTGTAGCAATTGCCAGGCATGGTGGCTCACGCCTGTAATCCCAGCACTTTTGGAGGCTGAGGTGGGCAGATCACCTGAGGTGGGGAGTTCGAGACCAGCCTGACCAACACAGAGAAACCCCATCCCTACTAAAAATACCAAATTAGCCAGGCGTGGTGGTACATGCCTGTAGTCCCAGCTACTTGGGAGGCTGAGGCAGGAGAATCGCTTGAACCCGGGAGGCAGAGGTTGTGGTGAGCTGAGATCACGCCATTGCACTCCAGCCTGGGCAAAAAGATCAAAATTCCGCCTCAAAAAAAAAAAAAAAAAGGAAGTTGTCTTTTTCAAAAATTCCCCAGGGAGACTTCTGCTTTTATTCAAGTTGGAGCAACAGTGACTAGATTTACTCCCTCACCTAAAACAACTACAAATCAAATATAATAAATGAAACTATGGTATTCAAGACAGTGGGCAGGAGGCAGGAAGGACAGTTATCCCTGGGAGACAGAATACAAATGAGGTGAGTGAGTCCAACAATTATCTCAAGTTTAAGAGAGATTCCGGGCTGTGGCATTGGGACAGGGAACCCAAATGGAGCCCTGCAGAGTACCAGAGTTGAAAGTCTGGAAAAAACAATGTGGCTAGAGTTCAAAGGACAGAGTATCAGAGAGTACAGAGCTGCAAAGAGTTAGAACCCAGCATATCTGAAAAATGCCTCCCTTTGAGTATTCATCAGAGTATTGATAAGCACATGTATCTGAGAAAACTACAGGAGGCCAGGGAAAGACCTATCAGAAAGGATTAAAGGAAATAGTATCCAGTGTTCACAAAGAACTGGAAATTGTGCATGTTTCTGCCAGTCTGACAAGAAAAACTTCTTAATGCATTGAACATTGAGTTGAGTACACAAAAGAGTTTTGCCTCAGTGGTGTGGAAAAATTTGCCCTACATAAATATTGCTGGTCCCACCTAACAAATCTTAAAAGCAAGATCTGAAAGGATCAAGCTGTTTCCCAGTAACACATCTGCTTCACAAAACAAAACTCAAGAATATTTATTATAAATACTTATCATTATAGTCAGAGATTTTAACATGTTATAATTGATATAACAAGTATACAGAAACCAGTAAGGACATAGAAGGCTTGAATAACATTACCAACCAACTTAATTGACATTTATAGAACACACCACCCAATAGAGCTGAATACAGTATTCTGAAATGCCAGTTGAAGCTTTACCAAGCTAGACCATATTCTAGGCCACAAAACAATACACTTAAAAAGATTTAAGCCATGCAAAATATGTTCTCTGATCACAAAGTACAGTAGTCCTCCCTTATCCTTGGGGGATACAAGCCAAGGTCCTAGTGGATGCCTGAAATCGCAGATAGGACTGAACCCTGTATATACTATGTTTTTTCCTATACTTACATACCTATGATAAAGTTTACTTTAAAAATTAGGCATAGTATAAGAGATTAACAATAATAACATAATAAAACAGAACAATTATAACAATATGCCAGCATCGTTGGTCTTGCACTTTGGGGCCATTATTAAGTAAAATAAGGGTTACTTGAACCCAAGCACTGAGGACCATTAATCTGATAACCAAGACAGCTATAGAAAAGACAAAAATGACCAATGTAAGAAATAAGAAAGATGGCATCACTATAGATTCTATAGATGGTAAAAAGATAATAAAGGAAAATTATAAATAACATTATGCCAGTAAGTTTGACAACTTAGATGAAATGGAAGGCACAAGTTCTTTGAAAGACACCAACTATCAAAGATTATTCAAGAAGAAATAACCTGAATATTGCAGTACCCATAAAAAAAATGAATTCGTAGTTTATTTATTTATTTATTATTATTATTATACTTTAAGTTTTAGGGTACATGTGCACAATATTCAGGTTAGTTACATATGTATACATGTGCCATGCTGGTGTGCTGCACCCATTAACTCGTCATTTAGCATTAGGTGTATCTCCTAATGCTATCCCTCCCCCTTCCCCCCACCCCACAACAGTCCCCAGAGTGTGATGTTCCCCTTCCTGTGTCCATGTGTTCTCATTGCTCAATTCCCACCTATGAGTGAGAATATGCGGTGTTTGGTTTTTTGTTCTTGTGATACTTTACTGAGAATGATGATTTCCAATTTCATCCATGTTCCTACAAAGGACATGAACTCATCATTTTTTATGGCTGCATAGTATTCCATGGTGTATATGTGCCACATTTTCTTAATCCAGTCTATCACTGTTGGACATTTGGGTTGGTTCCAAGTCTTTACTATTGTGAATAGTGCCGCAATAAACATACGTGTGCATGTGTCTTTATAGCAGCATGATTTATAGTCCTTTGGGTATATACCCAGTAATGGGATGGCTGGGTCAAATGGTATTTCTAGTTCTAGATCCCTGAGGAATCGCCACACTGACTTCCACAATGGTTGAACTAGTTTACAGTCCCACCAACAGTGTAAAAGTGTTCCTATTTCTCCACATCCTCTCCAGCACCAATAACAGACAAACAGAGAGCCAAATCATGAGTGAACTCCCATTCACAATTGCTTCAAAGAGAATAAAATACCTAGGAATCCAACTTACAAGGGACGTGAAGGACCTCTTCAAGGAGAACTACAAACCACTGCTCAATGAAATAAAAGAGGATACAAACAAATGGAAGAACATTCCATGCTCATGGGTAGGAAGAATCAATATCGTGAAAATGGTCATACTGCCCAAGGTAATTTATAGATTCAATGCCAACCCCATCAAGCTACCAATGACTTTCTTCACAGAATTGGAAAAAACTACTTTAAAGTTCATATGGAACCAAAAAAGAGCCCACATTGCCAAGTCAATCCTAAGCCAAAAGAACAAAGCTGGAGGCATCACACTACCTGACTTCAAACTATACTACAAGGCTACAGTAACCAAAACAGCACGGTACTGGTACCAAAACAGAGATATAGATCAATGGAACAGGACACAGCCCTCAGAAATAACGCCACATATCTACAACTATCTGATCTTTGACAAACCTGAGAAAAATAAGCAATGGGGAAAGGACTCCCTATTTAATAAATGGTGCTGGGAAAACTGGCTAGCCATATGTAGAAAGCTGAAACTGGATCCCTTCCTTACACCTTATACAAAAATTAATTCAAGATGGATTAAAGACTTAAACGTTAGACCTAAAACCATAAAAACCCTAGAAGAAAACCTAGGCATTACCATTCAGGACATAGGCATGGGCAAGGACTTCATGTCTAAAACACCAAAAGCAATGGCAACAAAAGCCAAAATTGACAAATGGGATCTCATTAAACTAAAGAGCTTCTGCACAGCAAAAGAAACTACCATCAGAGTGAACAGGCAACCCATAAAATGGGAGAAAATTTTCACAACCTACTCATCTGACAAAGGGCTAATATCCAGAATATACAATGAACTCAAATTTGCAAGAAAAAAACAAACAACCCCATCAAAAAGTGGGTGAAGGACATGAACAGACACTTCTCAAAGGAAGACATTTATGCAGCCAAAAAACACATGAAAAAATGCTCACCATCACTGGCCATCAGAGAAATGCAAATCAAAACCACAATGAGATACCATCTCACGCCAGATAGAATGGCAATCATTAAAAAGTCAGAAATTTGTAGTTTAAAAACTTTCCCACAAAGAAAATTCTAGGCCTAGCTGGCTTACTGGTGAATTCTACCAAATATTGAAGGAGAAATAACACCAATTCTTTCTCAAACTCTTTGAGAAAACTGAAAAGGAAGAATATTTTCTGACTTACTTAATGAAGAAAGCATTACTCCAATACAAAAACCAGACAAAGACAAAGAGAAGACTACAGACCAATATCCCCCATAGACATAGATATTCTCTGTTGCTGCTTCTATTAAACACTATACTAGAGGTTCTAGCCAATGCAGTATGGGAAGAAAAGAAATAAAAGGCATCTAGATGGGAAAGGAATGTCAATATTAGCAGACAACATGACCGTCCATGTGGAAAATTTGATGGAATGTACAGAAAACTGACTAGAACTAACAAGTATGTTGAGTGAGGTTGCAGGACACAAGGTCAATACACAAATAACAGTTGTATTTCTATATACCAGCAACAAACTATTGGAAATTAAAATTTTTTTTTTTTCGTTCTTTTTTTTTTTTCTTTTTTTTTTTTATTGATCATTCTTGGGTGTTTCTCGCAGAGGGGGATTTGGCAGGGTCATAGGACAATAGTGGAGGGAAGGTCAGCAGATAAACAAGTGAACAAAGGTCTCTGGTTTTCCTAGGCAGAGGACCCTGCGGCCTTCCGCAGTGTTTGTGTCCCTGGGTACTTGAGATTAGGGAGTGGTGACACGACTCTTAACGAGCATGCTGACTTCAAGCATCTGTTTAACAAAGCACATCTTGCACCGCCTTTAATCCATGTAACCCTGAGTGGACACAGCACATGTTTCAGAGAGCACAGGGTTGGGGATAAGGTCACAGATCAACAGGATCCCAAGGCAGAAGAATTTTTCTTAGTACAGAACAAAATGAAAAGTCTCCCATGTCTACTTCTATCCACACAGACCCGGCAACCATCCGATTTCTCAATTTTTTCCCCACCCTTCCCGCCTTTCTATTCCACAAAACCGCCATTGTCATCATGGCCCATCCCCAATGAGCCGCTGGGCACACCTCCCAGACGGGGTCGTGGCCGGGCAGAGGGGCTCCTCACTTCCCAGTAGGGGCGGCCGGGCAGAAGCGCCCCTCACCTCCCGGATGGGGCGGCTGGCCAGGCGGGGGGCTGACCCCCCCACCACCCTCCCGGACGGGGCGGCTGGCCAGGCAGAGGGGCTCCTCACTTCCCAGTAGGGGCGGCCGGGCAGAGGCGCCCCTCACCTCCTGGATAGGGCGGCTGGCCAGGCGGGGGGCTGACCCCCCCACCACCCTCCCAGACGGGGCGGCTCGCCAGGCAGAGGGGCTCCTCACTTCCCAGTAGGGGCGGCCGGGCAGAGGCGCCCCTCACCTCCCGGATGGGGCGGCCGGCCGGGCGGGGGGCTGACCCCCCCACCTCCCTCCCAGAATGGGCAGCCGGGCAGAGGCGCCCCTCACCTCCCGGACGGGGCGGCTGGCCAGGCGGGGGGCTGATCCCCCCACCTCCCTCCCGGACGGGGCGGATGGCCGGGTCGGGGGCTGACCCCCCACCTCCCTCCCGGACTGGGCGGCTGGCCGGGCGGGGGGCTGACCCCCCCCACCTCCCTCCCGGACGGGGCGGCTGGCCGGGCAGTGGGGTCCTCACTTCCCAGTAGGGGCAGCCGGGCAGAGGCGCCCCTCACCTCCCGGACGGGGCGGCTGGCCAGGCGGGGGGCTGATCCCCCCACCTCCCTCCCGGACTGGGCGGCTGGCCGGGCGGGGGGCTGACCCCCCACCTCCCTCCCGGACTGGGCGGCTGGCCGGGCGGGGGGCTGACCCCCCACCTCCCTCCTGGACGGGGCGGCTGGCCGGGCAGAGGGGTCCTCACTTCCCGGTAGGGGCGGCCGGGCAGAGGCGCCCCTCACCTCCCGGACGGGGCGGCCGGCCGGGAGGGAGTCTGACCCCCCCACCTCCCTCCGGACGGGGCGGCTGGCCGGGCAGGGGCCTGACCCCCCCCTCCCGGACGGGGCGGCTGGCCGGGCAGAGGGGCTCCTCACTTCCCAGTAGGCGCGGCCGGGCAGAGGAGCCCCTCCCCTCCCGGACGGGGCGGCTGGCCGGGCGGGGGGCTGACCCCCCCCCTCCCTCCCGGACGGGGTGGCTGCCGGGCGGAGACGCTCCTCACTTCCCAGACGGGGTGGCTGCCGGACGGAGGGGCTCCTCACTTCTCAGACGGGGCGGTTGCCAGGCAGAGGGTTTCCTCACTTCTCAGACGGGGCGGCCGGGCAGAGGCGCTCCTCACATCCCAGACAGGGTTGCGGCCCAGCAGAGGTGCTCCTCACATCCCAGACAGGGCGGCGGGGCAGAGGCGCTCCCCACATCTCAGACGATGGGCGGCGGGGAAGAGGCGCTCCTCGCTTCCTAGATGGGATGGCGGCCGGGCAGAGACGCTCCTCACTTTCCAGACTGGGCAGCCAGGCAGAGAGGCTCCTCATATCCCAGACGATGGGGGACCAGGCAGAGACGCTCCTCACTTCCCAGACGGGGTGGCGGCCGGGCAGAGGCTGCAATCTCGGCACTTTGGGGGGCCAAGGCAGGCGGCTGGGAGGTGGAGGTTGTAGCGAGCCGAGATCACGCCACTGCACTCCAGCCTGGGCACCATTGAGCACTGAGTGAACGAGACTCCGTCTGCAATCCCAGCACCTCGGGAGGCCGAGGCTGGCGGATCACTCGCGGTCAGGAGCTGAGACCAGCCCGGCCAACACAGCAAAACCCCGTCTCCACCAAAAAAAAAAAAGGAAAACCAGTCAGGCGTGGCGGCGCGCGCCTGCAATCGCAGGCACTCGGCAGGCTGAGGCAGGAGAATCAGGCAGGGAGGTTGCAGTGAGCCGAGATGGCAGCAGTACCGTCCAGCTTTGGCTCGGCATCAGAGGGAGACCGTGGAAGGAGACCGTGGAGAGAGAGGGAGACGGAGAGGGAGAGGGACAGGGGGAGGGGGAGGGGGAGGGAGAGGGAGAGCTAAAAATTTTTTAAATAAAATTTACAATAGCATTAAAAAATATACAATTCTTAGGGGTAAATCTGACAAAAGATATGTAAAACCTGTACTTTGAAAATTGCAAAATATTGCTGAAAGAAGTTTAAAATTTAAAATAACAGCAAAATCTGCCATGTCCATTGATTAGAAGACTCAGTATTGTTAAGAAGTCACTTCTTCCCAAATTAAGCTATTGATTCAATGCAGTTCTCATCAGAATCTGCTAAAGGACTTGTATTCAGAATAAAGAATTCTCAAAATTCAATAACAAGAAAACAAATTATCAAATTTAACAGTGGGCAAAAAAAATCCTGAATACACACTCAACCAAAGAAGATACATAGATGACAAATAAGCAATGAAAAGATGATCATTTGAGAAGTTTAAATTAAAACCACAATGAGATTCTAATACATCTACTAGAATGACTAAAATGGAAAGGACTCACCAACCAAGTGTTGACAGACCTTTCCCATGCTGCTGCTGGCAATGTAAAATAGAACCACCCCTCTGGAAAACAGTTTGGCAGTTTCTTTAAAAGTTAAACATATACCTACCACATGATCTAAGCATTTCTACTCCTATGTATTTACTCTAGAAAAATAAGAGCATATGTCTAAATAAAAGATTCTACATAAATGTCACAACAGCTTTATATATAATAACCCAAAGCTGGAAACAACCCAAATGTCCATCAATGGATAAATGGATAAATATACTGCATATAACTGCACACAACAGAATACTACTCAGCAATAAAAAAGGAATGGAAGACTCAAACACACTACAATATGCAAGAATTAAATATAAATAATTATGCTGAGTGAAAGCATGCTCAAAATAGTTATGCTGAGTGAAAGAAGCCTGATGAAAAAGAATACAATTTGTTTGCTTCTATTTACATAAATGCTAGAAAATGAAAATGAATCTATAGTGAGAGAAAGCAGATAATATTTGCCTAGGGAAGGGTAGGAAGGACTACAAAAGAGCAGGGGAAAACTTTTGGGGGTGATAAATATGTTCATTATTTTGATTGTGGTAATAGTTTCATTAAATAGGGAATCCTTTTAACATATATATATATATACATATGTTAAAACTTATCAAATTGTACACTTGAGATACGTGCAATGTATAGCAAATCAATTATACTTCAATAAAGCTGTGTTTCAAAAAATTCTATCCAAGTGATCCTGAAACCCTATCAGATTTTGGAACCCTTAAACTAAACCAAGCCTTTAACACCTATGCCACCTTGGGCAGAAGGCTGCCTATTCTGTTTCCAAACAGAATAGGCAAATCGTACCTCTGTACATACCTCTGTACGATTTGAAGAGTGGTCTCTCTTCTCTAGTCTGAACTTTAAAGAAACATTTATTTATCTTCTTGTATATTTAGAATGTTTTTCTCTGGACCCTCTAGCTTCCCTGTAGTGTAAAATTAGAACAGTCTGAGAGTTGTGATTAAAATTGACTATTGCAGAGTAACGACCTTTGGGCTCCATATGCTTGCAAATCATATTCCCCTTTACACACTCTAAAATTATGCATTGTTTATAAATAATAACACAGAATTGATCAGCAATATATGGATTGAATTCCACTATGACTCCTAAGTCTCTTGTCTTATTTATGGCCTAGCTGTTCCCATCTTCCATCTATCTTTGGTAAAGCGTAGGATCACCATAGCATGTTACTTGAACTTGATCTTACAGCCCTTCATAAAGTACACAATTGTCACTTTTATGGTTTAAGATCATTTCATTTAATCTATAACAATCTTCCAGAGTACTCATATCAAGGTTTTCCTTTGCCAACATATGAGTTTATTTTCAATTATTTATGCATGACACAGAAATTCAGAATAACTCCAGCATTTGGATATGTATTTATAAAACAAGATTCATGGTTGACACTAAGCCCTTCATAACACTTTTCAAATATAACCCCCCAGAGAAGCAGGCCACTTCCTACAGGAATATGGTCTGGCCTACACCACATCCTTTGAGTTAGTGCTAAAATGTCATGTGTGGCTGAATCAAAATCCTTTCTGAAGTTCAGCTGAATTGCTTCCTAAATGTATGTATAAACTGTCAATCTCTTCATGAAGGAAATTAAATCGATCTGGTACAATTTGCTCTTTGCAAAGCCAAGACAGTGACTACCCAGTGCTTCATGCTCTCCTATGTGGTGACTAATTGATTGTTCAATGATTTCATCTAGTGCAGAATCTTTAAAGGTATCAAAATTAACTTGACTGGCTTATAGGAGGTATAATTTACTCCCCTTTTAAAAAGCTGGGCACTAAAACTACTTTGGTTTAATCAACAAGCCTTTTTACATTTTTTTTTTTTTCAGACGGAGTCTCGCTCTGTCACCCAGGCTGGAGTGCAGTGGTGCGATCTCGGCTCACTGCAACCTCCGCCTCGTGGGTTCATGTCATTCTCCTGCCTCAGCCTCCCAAGTAGCTGGGACTACAGGCGCCCACCACCACGCCCGGATAATTTTTTTGTATTTTTAGTAGAGACAGGGTTTCACCACGTTAGCCAGGATAGTCTTGATCTCCTGACCTCGTGATCCACCCGCTTCAGCCTCCCAAAGTGCTGGGATTACAGGTGTGAGCCACCGCACCCGGCCTACTATTTTTTTTAATTATTTCATGCAGACACCCAATTTCCCACTTTAGGCCACTAGACCTCCAAGGAAGGAACTCCATCTTGCTTATCTTCTATTGCCTTATAGAACTGAATACCATGCTTTATGTATAGCAGACATTCATAAATATTTTTTGACTTGAATTTGAATTCCAAAAATAATTGTTGCATTCTGTAAGTAGCCCACAATACACAGAATCAGATTAATTTTAGTGTTTTACCTGTTAGTTCAGCATTCTACTCAACAACTTAGGAAGCATTTTATATTATCCATAAATTATCAATGAAACTGTTTTTTCAGGTGGGACATGTCTTTATAGCTCATTTGGGGATAAAAATTACTTCAGTGTGGGCCAACACTATTCATATGTGGTGAATATAAGGTAATATCCCAGGTCCTCTAGTACATTTTCACAGCTCATAAATAAAAATGTACCACTTCTTTCATCTTACCTTATGAGCAATAAATTAAGGTTTATTTTTGTCAGTCAGTGGATAAATGAATAAATAAATTGTGGTGTATCTATAAAATAAAATGCTAATCAGTAATAATAAGGAAAACACCAGTGATACACATAAGAACATGGATGGATCTCAGAAACATCAGGCTGAGCAAAAGAAGTCAGACACAGAGTACATACTATGTGATTTCATTTATCTGAAACTCGAAAAACAATCCAGGAGCCTGGGGAAAATGATGAGTTGTACTCAAGGAAAGAGCACAAAGGAAGCTTTCTGGGTCATGTAAATATCCTGTATGTTGAATGAGGGGATGTGTGGGTATGTATACAGTTATATATGTATATGCTTATACATACATATATACTCATCTCTACCTATTCACTCACATATGGATATTTGTATACACTTGTCTAAATTCATTGAAATGTACACTTGCAATGTGTGCATTTTATTTTTTGTCTCCTTCCTTCCTTCTTTTTTCTTTCTTTCTTCTTTTCAGAGACAGGGTCTTGATCTGTTGCCCAGGATGCGGTGCTGTGGCTCAAACATAGCTCACTGCAGCCTTGAACTTCTGGGCTCAAGCCATCCTTCCCCCTCACCCTCCCAAGTAGCTAGGACTACAGGCGTGTGCCACCATGCCCAGCTATTTTTTTATTTTTTGTAGAGACAGAATCTCCCTATGAGACCAGCCTAAGCTGGTCTCAAACTCCTGGTCTTAAGAAACCTTCTTGTCTCAGCCTCCCAAAGTGCTGGGATTATAGGGTGAGCCATGGTCCTCAGCCTCATTTTATTTTTAAGTGCAAAAAATTGAGTTTTAAGTGTTGATTTTTAAAGGTCCCTGTCCTGGAGAAGCATAAACTTGATCTGATTTCTTATTGAAGAATCCTCTAACATCCTGAATTTTATTTAAGCATATAATATTAAGGTAAAACTTGCATTAAAAATTATGTAACTGGTCACTTAATGCCTGTCTTACATCTTTCTCATCATGAGCTCTTTGAGAGCAGGGACTGTGTGTGTGTCTTGCTCATTGATTACTGTATCTGATGGCTCCCACCATGCCTCATAGCTAGTAGGCATCCAATAGATACTTGTTGAATGAATATCCAGTCCATTTTAATCAATAAAGCTCCTTCTATACACAAAGCATAGTAGTGAGCAATGCAGGAAATACTAAAATAGGTCAGATGTGAAGAGCTAACAGTATAATAGGATCAATACCCAAATAATGACTATTATGTATTATATGTATTTTAAGGGTTTTTTGTGGGGAGTATCAGAACAATTCGAATTTCCAAAAAAGATCATCATTTTTGTTGAAATACTATGCTGATAGTATGTATTTCAGCAGCCAAAAGATAAAGGAAAGGAATATACACACAAATTTAGGCTTCTCTCGAAAAGCTTACAATGCTAGAAACTGGGAGTCACTTTCTTAGTTATTTCCCCTGCTTAGGTAAGCAATGTTAAGGGAGTACTCAAACAGCTGTGTTTTCTGGTATTCACAGAGAGGGAAACTACTAAATATCTCAACTCTAAGCCACCTCTGCATGTAACTTTCATGTACTCCACCCATTATCTCCTCCAACATTTTGGGTAAGAGATCAGTCACTTAGTCTTTTAAAAGTAAGAACATAAAGTAGTTAACTAGGAGGAAAAAAAATCATTGCCCAATCATGATTCAACAGCTGCAGAATTTAAGACCAAAGAGGAATGTGGTATTGCTGGACTTGCTTATTGGACTATGTGCTGTGAGTGTGCCTTTAAAATACAATGAGCAGGTAACCACTGACCTTTATAAAACAATGGCCCAGAAGTTGGCAGAAAGAATGAGACAGCTTACCAGGCACAACTGAGTGCATTTAGAAATGGAGAATTATGTTTAAGTATCGCTTCATCTATTTTACTATTTGGGAATTTGAATGATCAGCACCAAAACATTAATATTTTTATGGCATTGCACTGTTAGTGAGGTACATCCTTTTTATGCTCTTTTCTTTTCAGAGAGAAAGAGCAAAAATGACACTGTGAACACTGTCAAGTTCACATATATGTATTTGTGAAGCAATCTAAATGTCAAAATAGACTAAAGACATTCTTTCTGTTCTTCCATGTAGTTTCAGAAAGGCCCGGTTTAGGTATTAGGATGTGATGCCATCCTGTACTTACCTACGATGGATAGAATGATCCTAAAGTACAAGGAAAATAGGACATGGTAACATAAATAACGTTTGAGAATTTTTTCATATAAACAAAACATTCTGTTAAAACCATCTAGTTTTTGTTTTTGTTTTTGAGACGGAGTCTCGCTTTGTTGCCCAGCCTGGAGTGCAGCGGCACGATCTTGGCTCACTGCAACCTCTGCCTCCATGGTTCAAGCGATTCATCTGCCTCAGCCTCCCAAATAGCTGGGACTACAGGCGCGCGGCACCACGCCTGGCTAATATGTGTACTTTTAGTAGAGATGGGGTTTCACCATATTGGCCAGGCTGGTCTCGAACTCCTGACTTTGTGATCCACCCGCCTCAGCCTCCCAAAGTGCTGGGATTACAGGCGTGAGCCACCACGCCCGGCAAAAACCATCTAGATTTTTTAAAAACAGCCACCAGCTATAAAATTTACAGTGCTCTTTATATAAAATGATTTTGTCTATAAAAGTAATCCCATGTTAGACCTTGGGCTTTGGAATGTTATAATTATTTAATAGCTCAAATAGTCTCAAAAATTACCCAATGCAATAATTTATTTAAGTAACATTGAGGTCTTTATTTTTTAATCCAGTTGGATGAAACCTTAGATCTGTCAGTATACACATATTTAATGGTCAGCCTGGATAACCTAATAAGACAGAGCAGTAGAATATAACAAACTTGACTTGTATTCAGAAGAAACAGATTTAATTCCAAGCTCTACTGCTCATTGACATGTGATCTTAGCCCATTTGCTTAGCTTAATGTCGGCTTCAGTGTTCTTGCTGGTAAAACAAAATATTAAGTGATTTGTCATAATCCTTAGCACATGATAAACAGCTATATACATAAAGGTTTCATTATTATCATCAGCTAGATACACATAGGCTTTTTGTTATTACATTCTTACAAAGAGACAAATTCAGAAAAGGTAATCTTTGAAAATTTCTCCTTTTGATCTCATCGGAAACATACTTGCACTGCCTAGTTTGCAGACTAGCTATATTCTGACATTTGTGTAGTCAACCACAACCACAGCAAGCAGGATGGCATTTATCTTTTATAATAATACAGAGTGCTCTGTCATAAAGTAGGGTCACTGAAATGAGTAATAATCCCACCAGCATCTAAGGTACAACCAGCAGGGTCCAGGTCAACAGGCAAGCAGCCGATAATTTGCCCAACAACACTGAATTTCATCTGCCCACAGCCTCTATCTACTGATTATACAATCAATACACCTCAGATGAGAAGAGCTAACAACTGACCGGGGCAGATCAATGCTAGCAAATAAGCGCTTCATGACAAAAAGTTTGATAATTACCATTCTGAAGCCGTGTAAATGTTGTTTCTATTGTAACAACATTCATGATGATACTGCTATGATTGCACTGTTATTATAGGTTTAATGTTAGGCAATCAAGCTACAGTGGTCTAGATATCAACAAACAGCATCAAAAGAAAACATCAAATTGTCCCTATTCTTTTGACACTGTAGCTGAGAAATTTTTCTATGTTAGTGGCCCTAAATGAACAATAATAAGTGACAATTTAGTGAAAAACACTATTTTCACATCTTACAAAAGTCATGCAATATAGATTGATACAAGTATGATTATTTCTAGGACCACTTGAACCAGGGGATTAAAATAAATTCAGTCCTGTGACCATGGTTTTTCCTTCTTTCTTTTTTTTCACATACATCATTTAAAGAGGATTTATGTAAATTTTCTCTGTACTCATAATTTTTCAAGCATTAGTGCAGTCATAAGTATAGGGCACCTTGGCTTGATTTAATTATTATCGTTTCTAATTCAGCACACTTTATTTTATTTTACTTTATTTTATTTTATTTTATTTTTGAGCCCTGATTGCTAGTTCATTCTCAATCATTAGCATTTAGAAGAACTAGTCATTACTGGTTTTCAATAGCTGCTTGGGTTCCTATAAGCACTTAGAGTCTTAAAACACAGAAATGGAAAACAGACATTTCAAAGGTAGAACAAATCATGACTCCTAGAGGTAGGGTACAAGAATCCCTGGGTGCGTGGGCACTGAAGCACACAAATTCTTAACTTTCCCATTTGCTTTTTAAAAACCACAGGAATTGGGTCTAAAAAAAACTAGGACACCTCATTTCTGTAAGATGCTTGCTCATATAGAAAACTGGGAACTGATTCCAAATGAAAGGCTTTCCAAAAGAAATGGCAGTCACTTTGGACCACAATAATCATTTATACAAGGGTATGTCTGACTTTCGATTTGTGCAACACACACTTTTAATTGTCACGTCCATAAATACATCCCCCAGCTGCACCCAGGCAGCAATAAAGTTACCTGTCTAAAACTTGGTCTCCACATCCCTGAGTGGCCAAATCTCTCACTGTCTGGAGTAAATCAGCTGCCTTTCCATGTAGATAAGAGACACAGAGCCGGGGAGGGCAGCAATGCTCAAGAGTTTGTCAATAGCTCAGGAGAGAAAGGGCAAACCAAAAACCTTTTGTGGGCAGTAATGCGAGTGAGATTTTCAGCATGCTCAGAGGTTGCTGTTAAATGTCTTTTTCAACAGCATTCTCTTTCTTTCCATGCAGCTTCTACCTCGCAATAGAGTCAAAGAATGTGATGTACATTAAAATGCTTTGCCTCTCAGATGGGGTTCATTTTTATTCAGGGACAATTTTGCTGACTGACAGGTAAGCGTTTGGTGCTGAAATTGGACCTGTACAAGAGCTTTGCATTTCATTTGCTCCATTACACCAGCGCATGAATTACTGGGCTTCCATGTTGGCATCTTTCCATTACTTTTAAATACCTGACATGAGCAAAATGACTCATCTGACATTTCATGTAACAAATTTGTTCCAAAAAAAAAATAGAACATTATTATACTATTTTATATATGTGGGTACCACAACCTTCTGCCCTAATCTGACCAGAAATTGTTAAGTGTATAAATGGTAGCTGATATCAGTTTAAGAAAACACACTGCCAATGACAGCTATAAAATCTCATGGCAAAGAAATATGTCTGCTTTTCCTATTACCCACTGTCACTTCAACCTACTTCTTGAAATGTTAGCAAACTTCAGTCACAAATGGAGCTTTGTATTTTGGTTTCACTTCCACCACTGCGTAAACTTTGAGACATTATTTATTCCAATACACAATGAATCAACTTTTTCACTTTTAATCAGTGCTAACAGAGCTGAGGAGTTAAGATGCCTGTACCAAATAGTCATTTGTAGTCACAATACTACTATTTACTGACTAGTACAAAATTATTTGGTCTTCAACTTCTTCTAACTCTCACTTTCCCTTTGATTGCTTTTTGTTGCTTTTTTATTTTTAAGCAACAACTTAAAAATAATACGGACCATGACTCACAACCCTAAGATATCTCCTCATTCCAAACTTAACACCACATCCCATTACCCAATACCACATCCCATTACCCAATTTGCCTTGTAGAACTAGGAAAGTGTTTCAGTTCTTTGCTAAAGGCCAGTGTTAGCCTAGACAGCTTTGCTCCAGGCAGATTAGGAAAGAAAGAATCCTCAGTTTTATGACTCAGCCAGGAGTTTTTCCCACCTCTTCACTTAAAAATACCTCAGTAACACATTACAACCTGCCATATGAGGCTGAAGATCGCAGATCTACACTCAAATAAGGGTTTTTCTAGGTGACAGTATAACATTTCATAAAGCAGCAGCATAATTATGTGACAGCAAAATTTAAAATATCATGTTCACTGTTAGTATGAATACATCGAATTAATACAGTATTATTTCCATATGAAATTATTAGCCTCATTATTATATAATGGTATTTTCTTTAATAAATGGTCTCATATTATAAATGTTAAAGTACTTTATGTTACGGTGTATTCTTTTTAACAATGTTAATTTACCCTCAACCATTATTCCTATGCTGAATTTATATAACGTGTAGGTAATGAGAGATCACCTCCAACCCGCCTGAGCTCTCATGTGGGCCCTTCAGCTGGATCTAGAAACCAAATTGACACAAGGCAGATTTACAAGAGAAAAGCATACACATTTTATTAGTTTTACATGTACATGGGGATCTTCACAAGAGAGTGAAGTCTGAAGAAGTGGCCAAAGCAAGATGCTTTTATACTTTTTGGATGAAGAATAATAAACTTAAGAAGAAATGATAGGACAAAGGCGATCTGTCTACGGGCAATAAATTCCTAGGGGAGTCACTAGGAGATACAAGCGGGGTGTAAAACTAGTAGAAGATAAGGGTTACTTTGGAAAATATATTTAATTGGGTCCACTGCAGCCCCCTGTTCCCAGCCTCTGGTTGATAAGAGCTATTTCCTGGCTCTAGTAAAGGGAGGATCTCGTCCAAAGGAATATTCTCCCTCTCCATCTCCCTCTCCCTCTCCGTCTCCCTCTCCCTCTCTGTCTCCCTCTCCCTCTCCCTCTCTCTCCCCCTCCCCGTCCTTTCTTTCTTTCATTTTTTTTGAGACAGGGTCTCACTCTGTCTCTCAGGCTGGAGTGCAGTGGTGTGATCATAGATCACTGCAGCCTGGACCTCTCAGACTCAGATGATCCTCCCATCTCAGCCTCCCAGGTAGCTGCCACTATAGGCATGTACTACCACACCTGGCTAATTTCCATATTTTTTGTAGAGATGGGGTCTCATCATGTTGCCTAGGCTGGTCTCTAATGCCTAAACTTAAACGATCTTCCTGCCTTGGCCTCCCGAAGTGCTGAGATTACAGGCATGAGCCACAGAAGAAGCTTTATGGCTTGCTGCATGCAGGTCAGCTACCCCTTTCTGAAACTACAATTTCTCCAATGTTTTCAAAATAATTAATATGCCAGTTTGACATATTTTGGGATGGCAAGTCCTTCACTCCTTTGAAAGTTATAATTTAAAAATGAGACATTCAACAAGTTGCATCACCTTTGTCTTTATAACCCACCTGTATTTTAAAAGCATCTGGGAATTCATGGCATTTCCCTTGTACAACCAGCATCAAAGTGACTTTCCTATCCTGGGGAATTATTTAACCAGAATGCTTACAGAAGATAGTGCAGATTTGAAAAACACACATCTTTGAAGAAACGGCATTTCTTCTTTGGATAAATGGTCCAAGAAAGTAAATTTTTTAGAAATGAGCTCCTTGAAAACAGTTCCAGCATCTAACACAGGTATTCTTTCCACAAAAATGGAATGAATGAACATTCCTTGCAGTATTTTTGTTTTGTTATGATTAGTGTTGAAGCCATGGGGCTATTTAATTGTCAATAATTATCTTTTGAGTTGCATTTTTAAAACTGTGCAAGTGAGGCTATTTCTGAGCAAATGGTAGCACTCTAGCCTCCACAGCACACTTACTTTTATTTTTGACCTTTCTCTCACTAATCCTAACATGCCACTCCTCAGACCTGAATAATCTCACCAACCACACTGTCCTCACCTACTCCTGTGGTTGCTGAATGCTATCAGTGTAAGTCACAAAATCACATTGACTTTGACCACTGATCACATTCACGCTGGACCCTCATGTAATCTAACAAGCTGCTTTTATTACAACAAATTATTCTCCACCAGGAAGACTTGTCCCTGCCCTCTCATTTTTAGCAGATGACTGCTTCCCAAGTTATTGAAATATATTGAGGCTACTGAACACTATGTCTCACAACTTCTATACTCTACTTCAGATTCCCTGTGTCTTCCTTTGCTTCTGTTTCTCCTTTCTCCCACCTGTGTTCTTTCTTTTTCTTTTCTTTTTTTTTTTTTTTTTTTAGACAGAGTTTCACTCTTGTTGCCCAAGCTGGAGTGCAATGACGCAATCTCGGCTCACTGCAACCTCTGCTTCCTGGGTTCAAGCAATTCTCCTGCCTCAGCCTCCTGAGTAGCTGGGATTACAGGCATGTGCCACCACGCCTGGCTAATTTATTGTATTTTTAATAGAAATGGGGTTTCACCATGTTAGCCAGGCTGGTCTCGAACTCCTGACCTCAGGTGATCTGCCCACCTCGGCCTCCCAAAGTGCTGGGATTGCAGGCGTGAGCCACTGCACCCAGCCTCCCACCTGCGTTCTTGAACCCATGTTTTCTCAACTTCTCTGAGACCAGTTTCACCACCTGTGCCCTCTCTATGTTCAACATTTCCCAGATCAGGATATAATAAGTCACTAGGAAGGGGACTGCCTAGTGGCTACCTTAGAGTCTCACTCATACTTTACAAGCACTTAACAATTTTTTAAATTTTTTTGAGACAGGGTCTCACCGTCACCGAGACTGGAGTGTAGTGGTGCAGTTACATGGCTGACTGCAGTCTTGACCTCCGAAGCTCAAGCAATCCTCCCACCTCAGCCTCCTGAATAGCTGGTACTAATGCCAAGCTAATTTTTGCATTATTAGTAGAGAGATGGGGTTTCGCCATGTTGCCAAGGCTGGTATCAAACTCCTGAGCTCAAGAGATCCACCTACCTCAGTCTCCCATAGTGCTGAGATTACAGGCGTGAGCCAATGCACCTGGCAACAAATATTTTCTGGGAAAATAAATGAATGATTGAATATTGAACAAGATCTGTAAGGGTGTCATGTTTGGTAAAGCCATACAGAAAAAAAGAATAGCGATAAAAATCTTAGGAATATTTATAAGAATAACAACAATGGGCAAGACCTATGTGAAGAAAAATATGCAATGTTACTGAAAATATAAAAGAATATCTAAATAAATGGAGAAGGGCTGGGCGTGGTGGCTCATGCCTGTAATCTCAGCATTTTGGGATACCGAGGTGGGAGGATGACTTGAGGTCGGGAGTTCAAGATCAGCCTGGCCAACATGACAAAACCCCATCTCTACTAAAAATACAAAAATTAGCCGAGAGTGGTGGTATGTGCCTGTAATTCCAGCTACTCAGGAGACCGAGGCAGGAGAATCACTTGAAACCGGGAGACGGAGGTTGCAGTGAGCCGAGATTGCGCCACTGCACCCCAGCCTGGGTGACAGAGTGAGACTCTGTCTCAAAAAATAAAATAAAATAAAAAATAAATAAAAGGAGAAACATGGCCAGGCATGGTGGCTCACAATGTAATCCCAGCACTTTGGGAGGCTAAGGTGGGTGGATCATTTGAGGTCAGGAGTTCGAGACCAGTGTGGCCAACAGGGTAAAACCTGGTCTCTACTAAAAATACAAAAACGAAAAAATAGCCAGTTAGCTGGGCGTGGTGGCTCATGCCTGTAGTCCCAGCTACTTGGAAGGCTGAGGCAGGAGAATTGCTTGAACCTGGGAGATGGAGGTTGCTGTGAGCCGAGACCGCGCCACTGCACTCTAGCCTGGCAGACAGAGCTAGACTCCATCTCAATTAATTAATTAATTAATTAATAAGACATATCATTTTCCTAGATGGGAGCACTCTGTAGTAATGATGTCATTTCATTATCAAATTACTCTATAAGTCAACGCAACCTCAGTCAAAAAAAAAAAATCATAGCTTGTTTTGACTTTTTTTTCCCCCTGTATTCTTGATACTCTGGCATTTTGGAGTCTTCATCTTAGATTGCCCCTCTCAGGGCTAGCTAATTCCTAGAGAAGACAAAGGATTTCTTTGCAAGTGCACCTTTGATATTTAAGTCAACCAATCCAGACCACACATCCCCAACCATCTCCTGTAACTAACTCTCACACACCAAGCCAATATTCCTGCCAGCCTAAATCTGCCTAGGGCTAGATATCAGATAATTAGGGGCCGCAGCTATAACCCAGAGCCCACCAAAATTACTCAAACTCTCCAATCCTAAACTTATTCAACATACCTACCCTACCTCACCCATTCGATCCTGTGAAAACCCCAATAAAGGCACTGGGCCATGCTCCCTGGTTCTGCCTCTTGCCCAATCTTGGTCTTCCCCATGTGGCTCTGAGTGGCATTGTATAATAGCCGTTTCTAGGGATATATAAGTCTAAACATTTCCTTCATGATAATTATGTCCACGTCTGCATGTCTTACCAAACCTGATTAAAACAAATCCTGGGTAAACTGTAATATACTACTGTATTTCTAAAAATCCAATATGTAGATTCAAACGTTCATCTGGAAGAATAAATAAAAACACTCAAGAAAAAATTTACAGAGAATAATCAGAAGGGACCTGCCCTATCAGAAATCAAAACATAACTATAAAATAATTAAAGCAGAAACTCACAAATCAGTGAGACATAATAGAGTATTCAGAAATAGACATACTTACATATGTGGATACAGTATATGGTAGAGGTTGTATTTCAGAACAGTGAAGAAAAAATAAACTAATACATTTGGTTTGAACAAATGAATATCCACATAGAAAAAATAAATTTGGAATTTTACCTCACATCATACACAAAACTAAATTCCAGATGAGATTATAGAACCAAATGTTTAAAAAAATTACAATAGTATTTGAAGAAAATTTCAGAGAATATTTTTATAATCTTATGATGTAGATGGCCTCCCTAACAAAACACAAAAGCCAGAAGACTTAAAGGAAACTACAAAATGAAAACTATATATGACACCAAAAGCACAGGCAGTAAGAAAATTAAAAAATCAAACTTCATCAAAATTAAAAACTTTTGTCCATCAGAAGACATTATCAACAGAATGAATGGAATCCACACAAAGAAATAATGAGCACTGATTAAAGTCACTACATAGGTAAATAAAAGATAATATACACTAAAAAAAAACAGAGTGAAAAAGCAACCTATAGGAAGGGAGAAAATATTTGCAAATCATATATCTAACAAGACATTACTACTCATAATATTATAAAGAACTCCTACAACTCAACAACAAAAAACCTGATTGAAAACTGGACAAAGAACTTGGATAGACATATCTCCAAAGAAAATATACAGATGGCCAAACAGCACATGAAAAGATTACTATTACTAATAGCAGCATATGAAAAGATTACTATTACTAACAGTAATAGCAGCACATGAAAAGATTACTATTACTAAGATATAGACGGCCAAACAGCACATGAAAAGATTACTTTTACTAATAGCAGCACATGAAAAGATTACTATTACTAACAGTAATAGCAGCACACGAAAAGATTACTATTACTAAGATATAGACGGCCAAACAGCACATGAAAAGATTAACATTCCTAATCATTAGGGAAATGCAAATCAAAAACCACAAGAGATACAATTGGAACCCTTGTGCTCTGCTGGTGGGAATGTAAAACGATGTAGCCACCGTGGAAAACACTATGGTGGTTCCTAAAAATAATGAAACATAAAATTACCATATGATCCAGCAATTCCACTTCCAGAGATAGACCCCAAAAAATTAAAGCAGGGACTCCAGTAGACATGTGTACACCTGTGTCCATAGCAGCGTTACTCATAACAGCCAACACAGCAGCATTACTCATAAGAGCCAACATAGCAGCATTACTCATAACAGCCAATTCCACTTCCAGAGATAGACCCCAAAAAATTAAAGCAGGGACTCCAACAGACATGTGTACACCTGTGTCCACAGCAGCATTACTCGTAACAGCCAACAGACGGAAATAACCTAAATGTCCATCAATGAATAAATGGACTGACAAAATATAGTATTAATATATACATGCAATAGAATAATATTCAGCCTCAAAAAGGAATGAAATTCTGACACGTTACAACACAGATGAATCTTGATGCCATTATCTCAAGTGAATTAAGTCATTCACTAAAGGACAAACCCTGTATGATTCGTCTTATATGAAATTCATAGAGCCTAGGCATGGCAGCTCACGCCTGTAATCCCAGCACTTTGGGAGGCCATGATGGGAAGATTGCTTGAGCCCAGGAGTTTAAGACCAGCCTGGGCAACACAGGGAGAACCTGTCTCTACAAAAGAATTAAATTTTTTAAAAAAGAAATTCACAGAGACAAAAGTAGAATGGTGGCTGCCAGGGACTGGGAGAAGGGGAGATTGTAGAATTACTGCTTAATGGGTACAGTCTCAGTCTGGGGAGATGAAAAAGTTCTAGAGATGGATGGTGGTGATGGTTGCACAACAACATAAATATACTTAGTGCCACTGAATTGTATACTTAAGATACGTAAAAGATTATATATGTTTTACCATGATAAAAAATATTTTAAAATAGGATTTTTGGTAATAATTCATGAAGGTAGTTCACAAATGAGTGATGTGTCAGTGTTCGAATTTGTTATTTCATATGTTAATATCATCTCAAGTATAAGCTCTGCAAGTAATAACTGTTATTTGTTTTGTCTCTTTTTTAGTTTTTAATTTTTATTTTTTAGAGACAGGGTCTCACTGTGTTGCCACCAGGCTGGTCTCGAACTCCCTAGTTCATGCAATCCTCCTGCCTCAGTCTCCAGGGCACCCGGGACTACAAACATAGGCCACCTCACCCGGCTTGTTTTTGTTTCTTTATACCCAAGATCAGATCAAAGAAGGCCTTAGAACAATGCTATGTACATAATATTGGTCATGAATAACGTGCAAACAACTGAAACCCACTACATATGTGGATTTATAAAGTCTTTGTTATTAAGTCTGAGAAATAAGAGAATACACAGGATTGCTATTTATCAATATTACATTAATTTAAAAAAGTATGATGTCCAGCTACTAACACTGTAAATAGCAGACTAGATTTAAACTAAGAAGTTTCTAGTTCAATTTGCATAATTATTTACTTCAACACATATTAAAACCTTAATAAAACCTGTTTTCAAATATTGCTACAATGGGACAAATTCTTTCCTTCTCTCAAGTTTTAAGGAGACCCCTTCTCTTTTACCTCACCCTCACAAATTCTTCATTCTTTTATGTGGAAAACAAACACAACAAAACCCTCTGTTAAAGGTCACATCTTTGTAATCACTATACAAATCTTACCTTTCTATTCAAATTTTATCTCTTAAATTCCCTTACATTGGTAAAAACGACTAGATTTAAAATATCAGCTCTAGTTCCCCCAAAACAAAAAGACTGCATTAAACATGGTTTGTGTCTTGATCCTAATAAAATTTCTTTTAACCTTGCCATGCTCTGAATCTAAGTTCTCATGAATTCAGACTATCTAACCTTTAAATCAAAATGTTTCTTGTGGTTTGGGTTTTCCTTTTTACTTTTCGTGGTGTTTTTTGGTATCAATAAGTGCCTGTCTAAAAGAACGACAGCACTAAAATACAGTCGACTGTCTTTTGAAGCTAAAATATGTAACAATAACCTGAAATACTACCAATCCCCAATGATCTTCTTAAAACATGGTCCCCAAATTTGTGCCTTCATAACCTACATGTAACCACATTATGAAGTAACACAGATTGCTTTCAAAATAGCCTATAACCTGTTTTTTATTCGTTTGCTTTTCATCTTTTAAAAAGTAAAATTATTCAAACAAAAAAACTGTCTAAAAATTAGGCAATTTTAATCAAGTTTGAAGAAACAGAAGCAGATAAGAATAGCTAACCACATTAGTAGTTTCTGTCCTATATTGTTTCTGTTTTGGTTAGCATCAAAAATAATAAACACTAATTTAGCTCTGACGGCACAGAAGGAATTCTTCCCCATGTAAATGAACAGATATCTCTATTATGATAAGATTCAGATAATAGTATTTTTGTAAAGTTCCTGGAATGTAATTGTTTGAAAGAAGATGATAAATCTATTCCTCTAACAGATTTAGTATTGCCACTGGGATTTCATCATAGTTCAGTCATAAATTAATTGCACAGTAGATTTATTCATCTATCATTCTCCCATAACAAGTCTGATCATGATTGCTTTGTATGTCTCCGTTTGGCACACTGGGGTTTTATTCATTTAACAGGATTATTTATTAATCAGGCATTTATTGAATAGAGTTTAAAGAAACTCAATGGGTCTGATACAAAGTGCATTAGATCTATCATTAGGATTATTTTTATTTCAGACATTCATTTAAATGGACCTCATTGTATTTGGGGGAAACATTACTTATAAGATGGATATTTTCTGTTAAATACATTTATCCTGGCTTTATGAAATACCTGATATGGGGATAATCTAGTTACAAAGAAAAAAATTAACTATGTAGCATCTCTATGAATTTGGTATTTAGAGAAAAAAGGCTAAGTTAATATCCGATAAAGGAATAATCCTAGTTAAGAAATAAAATCCTCCTTGATCCAAATGGCAACTTAAAAAAAAGGTAACCAACAACTATAAAAACTCCTTACACAAATAAAATCTGCCGGTTGCTATAAAATCCACATCATCAGACTGATATGCCATTTTGCCTTATACTAGAAAAAAATTGTCATTGCAACAAAGAGCATTTTATTTGAGGACTAAATGAGTAATGACTGCACTTGAAGCTAATGCACAGAGGAAATAGAGGAAAGAGGATTGGCGATGACTAGGGCCCAAGCTTCCCTTGATAACTACCCTTCCTCAGCATTCTAACTTCCATCTATCATGCCAGCTACTACCTCCACAAAGAGAGAAAGACAGGACACTGAGAGAAGAGATGCAATGAAAGATAATAAGAGAGGCAGGGACAAAGGAAAATCATGGAATCTGAGAGTTGGAAGAGATTTCACAGCACTACTGAAGGAGAATGACAATAGTAACAGTACACAGATTGGGAATGTAAGGTTATTAAACAAAAACTCATTTTTAAAATAAAAAAAGAAAATGATTTTCAGAATCATTTGCAATGAATATATTCCATTGGATTACATATGCAAATTTAGTGAAATAACTCCTAGAAAATCGCCATTCGTATAATACCCTGTAAGAAGCCGATGATATTTGCATCTTGATTTATAGACCTTTACCATGTAAGCAGAAATATTGCAAGTAACTGAACTTAGAACTTTTGAAAATGAAAAACATTTATTTTGAAGAAGTGAGATGATATTATCACCAGTTATTAATAGTTTTCCTATTGAGTTGTCTCTAGGTACAATTGTTCCATGAATAAAAATCACAGGACAGCATGATTTTTATTCATGAGGCAGAGTCTCTCAGAGCACATACTTAGTTTGGGGCTCTACCTGTCTAGCATTAACCCGAACAATCCAGAAACTGAGATGTGATGGCCAGAGCCATCAGGTGGAATTCTGACACTGCCCTAGAGACTGACATTTCAACCACCACCATTGCTTCTAAGCCAAGACTTGACCCTTGTAACTTGGAAATGTAGCTTGCATGCTTCCACTTCTCTTCCACTGCCATCTCCCTCGTTCCTGTTCTGTGGTCTGGGCTTCCGCACTAGCCTCCACAGGGCCTCTCAGAACCCACACCCTATTCTAACCTTAGTCTTTTGTGCCCTCTGTAAGCAGGGGCTGCACATGTCACTTCCCCAGCTTTGTACTTTCAATGTCTTCCTATTGGTTTTAGGATAAAGGCAAAAACCCCTGCCATGTCCATGAGGTGCCCTCATGGACCCACAGTCTGGCCCCTTCTCCTTCCTCTCCTGTTATGCTGACCTGCTTCAGCCAGGGTGGCCTTTTTAGACCTTCAGTTCCTCTAAAACCAATCTCCTTGCTACCTGTCAGGCTTATGTGACATATCCAGTCCAGCCATCAGTCAGTGGCATATTAAAATGCTCTCCACAGGACCACAGAGCTGTGGGTGACCTCTGCATGGACATGATGTTTGCTGAGCAGGAATACTCATATTTCTGCCCTAAGCTCAGAGCAACAGCTACCAACTGTGATTGAAAAATTATGTTCATTCAGGAGGGTCTGGAAACATCTTGCTTCTCTCCTATGTAAGTTCTTGTAATAGACTAAGGCAAAAGACACAACACACATAAACTTTTGAGTAACAGTTTCCAAGCAAATGCACTGATGAAAGTAGGGTCCCATTTGGAGGAAGCTCAATTCAGGCTCAGCTTGTTTTGCTCGTTTTGCTCATTTCAGGACTTTGCCTATGCTCTTCCCATTGTTTAGAACACTTTGCCCTACTCCTTCATCTCGCTCTCCAGTGCATCCTTCAGATTTATGCTCAACTGTTACTTCCTCAAGGTTGCATGCTTTGATCACCCACCCCCACCCTGGCCCCTGGCAAAGTTAGAGCTCCTTATTATAAGCTCTAAGAGCGACCCTTATCATAACTGCAAGTAAACAATTAACCTTGGTCCCCAGTACTTACTTGTAAATAAGAACAGGAGTAGCATTTTACCTCATTCACCAGTTTCCCCAGTGCTAAGTAAGCACTCGATAAATAACTGCTGAATGAATGAATGACTCTCGATCCAAAGAGAGCAGTTACTGTTAACTTTGAAATCAGCTTCTATGGCTGAGCTGTTGAAGAAACATTGTTAATGTCTAGTTTGGCTCCCAAATTTTGGATTCTGCCAAAAGTTGTGCTAGCAGGACGTGACAGGACAAGACATAACTGCAGAAGAAACCTGACAAGGAAAATCCTCTCTTTTTATCTTATTTCAATTCTCATCCTTCCCATGTCTGTCTCTGTCTAATAGCAGTCTTTTGCTTCCAGAAAACAAGCTGAGCCCTGAACTGAGCTTCCTCCAAATGGGACCCTACTTTCATCAGAGCATTTGTATGGAAACTGTTACTCAAAAGTGTATGTACTTTTCCCTTACTCTATTACAAAGGATTGACATGGGAGAGAAGCAAGATGTTTCAGTAGTCTCCTGAATGAACATAATTTTTCTATCCCAGTTGATAGCCGGTTGCTCTGTGCTTAGGGCAGAAATATGAGTATTCCTGCTCAACAAAGATCACGTCCATGCAGAGATCACCCACTGCTCTGTGGTCCTGTGGAGAGCATTTTAATACGCCACTGACTGATGGTCGGGTTGCATATGTCACATGAGCCCAACAGAGGGGATGAATTAATGTTAATTAGGACAATCTGAGCATTATTTGGATAACCCAACACCAAACCAATACTACTGAAAGAGCTGCAGAAAAATTCCTGTTCCTCCATTGCATCATGCCAGTAATTCCATACTGAGAATGCCAGATCTGACACTCTTTACAAACCTACACAGGAATCCCTTGGTCAACTGATAACTCTCACAAGCAGAACTTGCTTCTGAAATACTGGTTCCTATGGTAGCTATTCTTTTCCCCCAAGCTTCTGAATTTGGCTATACAATGACACCCAAATTCTGCTACTACTACTACGACTGTTTAACCATAGACTCTTATCTCCCTGAGAAATATTTACAGATCAGAGCCCAACTCCGCAAAAACACATTAACAGTAATCCTTGTTATAAGCATAAGAGACTGTGTCAACTGAAATGTTTTTACAGGTATGTTTTCAGGTTATCTTAATTTTTTAAATTAAAAGCATCCTTTAACTTACTATTCTTACATAATTCCTCAAACGCATCCACTCATAAATGTCAAGCAGGGTTCTCAGCTTGTCAGTTGAGAGGCCTAGATTTGTTTCAATTCTGCCACAACTTCTTAACCTCCTTCCTATGGCTAATTTTTTTTTTAAATGATGTCAACATCATTTTTTGCTGCTGTGGCAAAGAGGGCTGCTTGATCCTTCCACCATCAACTAGAAGCCCCCACGGTGGCCTTATGGCTCACAGGCCTTTAGGACAGCCCCTGTGTGAGTCAAACAATAGTTCACATACGACCCAGCAGCCTGACTGAAAAGAAATTCCAAATTCTGCCCCAAAGGACTAATTGAACTTAGCAATTTATTCTTTTTCATAAAAAAATACTTGTAGTACCTTTTTGTAATACAACAATAAGCTACCATGTGGATTTCTGCAGAATTCTGGAACAAAGCCAAAGCAACAATAGCTCTTTTTCTTTAGGAATAAGACCCATATGTCAAAATTTATCTAGAAACTCAATTTGGCTTGCTGCTTCATCATGCTAGGAGGATAACTACAAAATTATATTACTGTTCATTATGTCCAGGGGGATCCCAATTTATTATGATTCATGCCAGAGTAGTACAGTAGCCTTAGCAATGGCTCTTGCTGTATGGAGATGTGCCAGTCTTCTAATAGTTATGAGTAGATCATAATACTATACTTGGTTTTTACAAATGTTTAATTGACATAAAATATTCAACAGCCGGTAGAGATAATTTGTAATCCTCAATTACTTTTTAGCGCCATCTAATTTACCCCACAGATTTACAAGCCACGTACACATGCATGTGCGGTTACACAAACACATGTTGTGGCATGACAAAACAATATTGTAGGGCAAGTGACATCTGTGTGAAAAGATCTGAAATAGCATCATCAACTTTAGAACAGTCAGCCTTCCTATTTATTTTTAGGGTCAAAATAGTAATACCTGTGCCCTGCCCAGTAATTGATCACTTGTGAATAAGACAATGGGGAAAACTTTTAAAACAGTGGTTTTGGCTCCACATAAAATCACCTGGGGAGTTTTGTTTTTTTTTTTGTTTTTTTAATTCCAGACTCAGACCACTCTCCAGGTTACTTAGATCCGATTCTCTGAGTAGGATCCAGGCATCGTTTTTTTGTTTTGTTTTGTTTTGTAGCTCACTATGTGCTTCCAATGTGTAGCCAAATTTTAGAAGAACTGCTTTAGAATCTGTTTATTCCTGAAGTTTTTTCTTGCTTTTTGTAAAGTAAGCACAAACTCTGGCAATATTAAATTACGTAATCCTCACACATCACTAATGGGAAGGATCTAAAAAAGTATCTCATCTCTCCTTCATTTTTCAAAAGGAGAGATGGAGAACCAGAGAAGTCAAGTGACTTTACCAAGTTCTCTCCAGAAGTTAGTGCCAAAGCTTTACAGCTACATCTTCTTGCTGCAATTCAGTGTTCTTTCCAGGACACCACATTGCCTACTTTATTATTTTTTTAATGTTTATTTCTTTTTCTGAGCATTCTTGATCCAATTTATAGATCAAATGTATATGGATAAAAATGTTTGAAGGTGTTGCCATCAAGCCACCCTTGCCATAGTTAAGTGAATATAAAGTTAAACCACTTGGGGGGTCCCTTTGGCCAGCACTATGCTAGGAAATGTGAGAGACAAAGATGAGAAAGATGCCTTCTCCGAAGAACCCTCAACCCAGTAGAAAAAAATTAGGACACGAATACACATGACAGCAACGCCAGGCAGACCAAGTGAGGAAACAGTGGATAGCCCTGGAAATCTCTTTGGACTATGGTTTCATCTTGCACAACCCTAACAGGGTGGCTTAGTTCATGAAATTCACTTACAGACAAGAGTGGATACCTGCATATATGTAATGACACTACCAAGTCCAACCAAGGTTTAAAGTGTTATCAGCTTGGGCCGGGTGTGGTAGCTCACGCCTGTAATCCCAGTTCTTTGGGGGGCCAAAGCAGGTGGATCACCTGAGGTCAGAAGTTCAAGACCAGCCTGGCCAACATGGTAAAACCCCATCTCTATTAAAAATATAAAATTAGCTGGGCATGGTGGCACATGCTTGTAATCTCAGCTACTCGGGAGGCTGAGGCAGGAGAGAATCGCTTGAACCTGGGAGACTGAGCTGAGATCGTGCCACACTGCACTCCAGCTTCCTGGGTGACAAGAGCAAAACTCTGCCTAAAAACAAACAAACAAACAAACAAAATGTGTTATCAGCTTGGCAAATAATAGCAATGCAGGCCTTTATTCACTCTGAGAAAAGTTCTAGGCCATGTGTGGTGGCTCACGCCTGTAATAACAGCACTTTGGGAGGCCGAGGCAGGTGGATCAGTTGAGGTCAGGAGTTTGAGACTAACCTGGCCAAGGTGGTGAAACCCCGTTTCTATTAAAAATACAAAAATTAGCCGGGCATAGTGGCGCGCTCCTGTAATCCAGCTACTTGGGAGGCTGAGGCAGGAGAATCGCTTGAACCCGGAAGGCGGAGGTTACAGTGAAATGAAATTGAGCCACTGCACTCCAGCCTGGGCAAGAGAGTGAGATTCCGTCTCAAAAAAAAAAAAAAAAAGTTCTGATCAACTAGTATGCTTTGAACCCCAACTGTATAAATAATATGAAACTAATGACTCTAAATAGGAACACTTTTACACTATTGGTGGGACTGTAAACTAGTTCAATCATTGTGGAAGACAGTTTGGCGATTCCTCAAGGATCTAGAACTAGAAATACCATTTGACCCAGCCATCCCATTACTGGGTATATACCCAAAGGATTATAAATCATGCGGCTATAAAGACATATGCACATGTATGTTCATTGCGGCACTATTCACAATAGCAAAGACTTGGAACCAACCCAAATGTCCATCAATGACAGACTGGATTAAGAAAATGTGGCACATATACACCACGGAATACTATGCAGCCATAAAAAAAGGATGAGTTCGTGTCCTTTGTAGGGACATGGATGAAGCTGGAAACCATCATTCTGAGCAAACTATCGCCAAAGACAGAAAACCAAACACCGCATGTTCTCACTCATAGGTGGGAACTGAACAATGAGAACACTTGGACACAGGGTGGGGAACATCACACACCAGGGCCTGTCATGGGGTGGGGGGAAGGGGGAGGGATAGCATTAGGAGATATACCTAACGTAAATGATGAGTTAATGGGTGCAGCAAACCAACATGGCACATGTATACATATGTAACAAACCTGCACGTTGTGCACATGTACCCTAGAACTTAAAGTATGGGGGATAATAATAAAAAAAAAGAAACTAATGACTATACTCTCCCTTGATATTATCATCTTTACTGTTTTACTGTGTCAGGAGCACAAATGGTAATATCTACATAAGGCAAAACAATAATACTATTAAAATAATATTGTAGAAGAAAATTTAATCACACTGAAAATATTCATAGTACATTTTGAAGTAAAAAAAGTCAGGTTATAAAACAGTACAGGTAGTATAATCCTTTTTTTAAGAAAGAAACAAAAATTTGTATATACACCTATGGGAAATACATCCCGAAGAGATAAGAGTAGATACCTCTAAGTTGTGGGATTGTAGGATTATTTTTATAACAATAATTTAAAAATTAATTCAATAAAAGTAAACCTTGTAAGTTTTAATTTAATCTCTCGGCCTTATTTTTCTCTTCCATAAAATAGGAATAACACTAGTTATGGCATAGGAGTTGGTTAGATCAAATAATGTAATGTCTGTTAAAAAAGAAAAAACCTTTACATATTGTGAAATACATACTTAGTTATCATTTTCTCCATATCTTACCACAAATACCACCAGTACTGAGAGAGTAAGGTCCTCTTGAGCAGGGGAGGCAGATGGGAATATGATATTAGGAGCACTGCTTTGGGCCGGGCACTGTGGCTCACGCCTGTAATCCCAGCACCTTGGAAGACCCAGGCGGGCAGATTACTTGAGGTCAGGAGTTTGAGACCAGCCTGGCCAACATGTTGAAACCCCGTCTCTACTAAAAATACAAGAATTAGCTGGGTGTGGTGGCAGGCATCTGTAATCCTAGCTACTCGGGAGGCTGAGGCAGAAGAATTGCTTGAACCCAGGAGATGGATGTTGCAGTGAACTGAGATTGTGTCATTGCACTCCAGCCTAGGTGACAGAGTGAGATTCTGTCTCAAAAAAAAGAGAGCATGGCTTTGAAGTCACGGCTTACTAGCTGTGTGACCTTAGGCAAGTTACCCAACCTCTCTAAGCCTTGGTTTCATCATTTGTGAAATAGAAATAATAATACTCACCTCCCAGGGATGTTGTGTGAATTAAATGAGTTAATACTTATATTCGGCATATAATGAAAGCTCATAAAGTGCTAGCTATTATTGTTGTTAATGGTTATGCTTCTGTTGTAATAATAATTATAATAAGCAAATGGATTAGAAAAGAAAGAAGGGTAAACAGAGACTGTGGATAGTGCCAAGAAAAATAGAATTCGTTTGTTGTAAAAACTGCTCTGGACCTGAAATTCTGATGTAGAACACAGAGTGGAATGGGAAGGGGGACATGGCTCTTAGCCCCTCTCACTGGCTCACCACTAGAGGACTTTCTACTCAAAGACAGCAGCTGGGTGGCAAGTTACAAAGCCCTTGGCAGAATACCCCAATAAACCTCCTACCCAGTTTCCAAGCATCAGCTTGATCTTCTATTTTCATTTCACACAAGTTCACCACCTGTCACAAGCAAGTCCACCACCACAACTGCTTCACACCATCACCATCACTTGGAATGGAGGCTCACTTTTTTCTCCCTCTTATATTCTCCAGCCCTGTCCATGGCTCACTTCCCTACCTGGCCATCGCCTAGTGATTTCCTTGACTTTTCCTGACCCATCCATGTCCTCAAAGACTCTTACAGACAATTCCACTTCCTTGTTCATTTAGCAGTATCAGATCTACTTTATTTTCTTTATCAGAAATGAGTGAGGGGATCCAATGTGACCAGATCTTAAGGTCCCTCATCAATGTCTTAAGTGCAACTTGCTCTAAACCCCATAATATTGTTGTCTATCTATAGCTTAAGCTGGCAGATTGAAAAACTCCTAATAAGAGATATCATTCACCTCCTGAAAAGGGAGCAGAACATGTTTGACAAAAAACTAGCTGAATTGATTGAGAGTAAATGGGAATATTAATAAAAAGGCCTACAGGTATGACTTAGAAGAATTATATTGGGAAATGTCACCAGGTTATCCCAAGTGAAAGCAACGAGGAAAAGAAAGTCACATGCTTATTTATCAATTCATAGTGATGAATAATAAGTAAACTGTATGTTCAGAATATATTTATCTATGTAAAAATCAAACACAAAGAAGGAAAGAAAAAGTGGAGATTAAGAAAGGAAAACAGTAATGGTAGTCTTGTGGAAGTACACATACTATAAACCACCAGCTAGATGGAGAATTCAGATAATCTATTTCTAAGTCTAGATACAAAACCATGATTTTGGTAAGACGTAGTAATGTTGAGGAGCTTCACCTCACCAGGAGTATGCTGCCAAGTTGGTAGGAACTTACAAAACACAGTATCAGAAAGGCTAAATTCCAGAATGCTGAGGCATGCAAGAAGAAAGAAAAAAAAATGATAAAGATTATAAGAAGGTTGTTTGGAATAAGAAGACAAACAAGAATGTTACAAAACCAGTGGTCAGGCCATATGACATAATAATAAAGGGTGACAGGAAGGCAGCTATACTTATCAATTCCTGTTTTGCTTAGATTTAATTTTCTCTCTGAAAATGGTAGAACAAGAATCAAAAAGAAAGACTCAAAGCCCCCATCTAAGGTGTAAGATAGTAGGAAAACAGCATGAAGTCACTTCAAGTGAATTCAACTTTTCAAGCTTAGACAAATTACACTCCAGGGTTCTGAAACAACTTGAGGGCAAGTGTGCAAAATCAATATTAGTAACTTTGAGACATCCCAAAGAATGGGGGAGCTGCCAGGGAAATGGAGATGGGCATAGGTAGGCTTTGTTCAGATGATTTTGAAGGATAAAATTAGATTAGGTTAACTATTGTCCAAAGAGCTTAAATATACCACCTCAAACTATATAATATTAGATATTAATAAATGAGAGCATGCTTTTTTCTTTTTAGACTGGTCAATCAGTCTATCATTAGAAGGATGCCACCTGCTGGGCACCGTGGCTCACGCCTATAATCCCAGCACTTTGGAAGGCCAAGGCAGGAAGATTGTTTGAGGCCAGAAGTTCGAGACCTGCCTGGGCAATATAGCAAGACACTGTCTCCAGAAAAAAAAAATTAAAAAATTAGCTGGGCATAGTGGTATGCTCCTGTAGTCCTAGCTACTTAGGTGGCTGAGTGGGAGGATCGCTTGAGCCCAGGAGTGAGCTATGATCATGCCACTGCACTCCAGCCTGAGCAACAGAGTGAGACCTTATCTCTAAAAGAAAATAAATTTTAAAAAACAAGTATGTTAGAGTATCTCTTAGTTCCAAGAAGACATTTAACTAAGCCTCAGATAGATTCTTATGGACAAGACTAAGAAAAACTGGCCAAGTCAGTTGATGGATGTCAATTTTTCCTAACAGAAACTCCCAGTGTGTTGTGTTTAGCTCTAGCCTATTCAAATATTTTACTGACAACTTGAAAAGCGACTTCAAAGGCAAACTTACACATTTCCCAATAGCCAAAGCAAGAGGGCTAGTTAATAATACAGATGATGAATAAAAACTTGAATTGACTTTGATTGGCATAAAATGAGTTTAAAAACCAATATTATTCAAAGTCAATATAAAAATGAGTTTAAAAACCAATATTATTCAAAGTCAAATGAAATTTTGCAGGCAAAAACATAGAGAAGCTTTTTTATCTTAAACAAAAAATTAGGTCCCATGTACAAATTGGACAAGACCTAGTTTGCTAGCAGTTCAAATAAAAAACTTGATTCTGAATAGTCATAAAATGCTTTATCATGAACCATT
This sequence comes from Homo sapiens, assembly GCF_000001405.40. Taxonomy (NCBI): domain Eukaryota; kingdom Metazoa; phylum Chordata; class Mammalia; order Primates; family Hominidae; genus Homo; species Homo sapiens. The sequence goes on along the minus strand of NC_000002.12, from coordinate 44,559,759 downwards.
TATGTAAATTTAAATCAATAACTGTTTCAGGCATTGAGCTAGACTCTTTCCCCTCCTCCATAATTATCCTCCAGTAAGTAGATAGAGGGTTCAGCTCTACAGACATACTAGTCTGCTCAACTAGACCCTGTGTAAGACACATCTTTCAAAGGGATAACAGATTTGGTAGAGAAGAGGGTGAAAAATCTGAAGACCACATTAAAAAAAAAGTGGTTATGTAAAATAGAAATTCTTAGTTTGAAGAAATAAAGGTTTACAAAAGCCATGAGAGTTGTCATGAAATACTTGAAGGACTGTCATGAAAATAAGGTGGTGCTCTAGAGAGCAGAGCAAAGAATGTACATTATCACAGAGAGGAACACATAGGCTCTTGATGAAGAACATTTCTTCACACCTGCAACAGTTTAACTGTGTACCACCTCAAAAGGAATGCACTTCCTATTAGTGAAGATGCTCACAAGTCTGTGACAGATGCTCTCGGAGGAGTTCCTCAACTGAAGGGGAAGCTGCAATAGAGGACTATACAGTCCCTTCCAACACCATCATTTCATGATTCTGCAAATAGTGTGTCCTAATTAAAACAGCACCACCACTAAGTTGCATCCCTAATCCAAAAGTGTTCAAGTTGGATAGCTTTAGTGGATCTAAGCCTTTGAAGAACCATCTGTTGTAGAAACTGAGAATTAATTTTATTTTGGATTCTAGATAGATGATAGATAGATAGTTAGATAGACAGATAATGTCTGTCTGTTTATCTATCTATCTATCTATCTATCCATACATACATACACACACACACACACAGAGACACATTTTCCAGACTTTTATTTTAGGTTCAGGGGGTATGTATTCAAGTTTGTTACATGAGTAATTCAAGTGTCACTAAGGTTTGGTGTACGAATAATCCCATCACCAAGGTAGTGAACATAATACCCAATAGTTAGTTTTTGAACCCTCACCTCTCTTCCACATCCCACCCCAGGAGTCCCAAGTGTCTATTGTTCTCATCTTTGAGTCTGTGTGTACTCAACGTTTAGCTCCCAGTTATACGTGAGAACATGTGACATTTGATTTTCTGTTCTGGCATTAATTTGCTTAGGATAATGGCCTCCCACTGCATCCATGTTGCTGTAAAGGACATGATTTCCTTCTTTTTTATGCCTGTGTAGTAGTCCATGGGGCATATGTACCACAATTTCCTTATCCAATCCACCTCTGAGAATTAATTAATTTGTCTCTCTGAACTCTATCTATTGAAGATAGACTTCTGCCTTAGGAACTATCTTTTGAGGATACAACAGATGATAAAAGCATTTCCTGCATATTCCCATATATGTAAATTGGTCCACCCGAGGTCTAAACTTAGCAAGTACCAAGGAAACTGGGGCAATGCAATAGAGCTCTTAGAAAACCGACAATTATCCAGGCACAGTGGCTCACTCTCGTAATCTTACAACTTTGGGAGGCCAAGGCAGGAGGCTCACTTGAGCTCAGGAGTTCAAGATCAGCCTGGGCAACATTGCAAGATGCCATCTCTACAAAAAATTTAAAAAATTAGCTGAGTGTGGTGGTGGGTACTCAGGAGGCTGAGGCAGAAGGATCACTTGAGCCCAGGAGTTCGAGGCTGCAGTGAGCTATATTGACATCACTGCACTCCAGCCTGGATGACAGAGCAAGATCTCATCGAATGAATGAATGAATGAATGAATGAATGAATGAATGAATAAATAAATAAATAAAACTCACAATAGTATTGCAGTTGATCATCCCTGGGTGAAACTCATTATGTAAGTTTTCCTTTAATGCCAATCAGGGTCCTGATAACAGATATTTTAAACTGACTGACATGCGCAGTGGGGAGTGGAGACCAACCTAAATTGATACAGAGCAGAGAGCAATGGTTAATCTTAAACTTCCTTCTTTGTCTATTCCTTATATTTTAAAAACAGCAACATGAAATTAGAAAAATGTAGAAAATAAAAAAAAGTGACTTAAAAATACTTTCTCCACAAAAAGTGATCACCTCCCGGTAACAAGAAAATGGACAAGGACTCAGAAATATGGTGCTAACCATTCTTCTATTTATTTAGAAACCTTTTTTTCTCAAGCTTCTCTAAAGAGATTATTACTGTTGTTACTGTTTCTATTTTACACATAGAAGAAGGGAGGAAGGAAAGAAGGGAAGGAGGGAGGAAAGAAGGAAGAAATAAGTTAATTGACTTGTTCAAGACATTCCCTCAGGTCAAGATGAGGAGCAACATCACCAGACCATTCCACTAATATTCCCCTTCCTCAAAAAAGGACTGCCCTCTAAACAAAGAAACCAACCAATGGCCTGCCCTTATTGTACCATAAAATTAACTACCTTCTTAAGCACCGTTTATTTTTGCTTCCTATTTGTTTCATGTGTTAGTTTTATTTCCTCAAATAAGAGAATGTACTAACACTTTTAAATAGGAAAAAAAAAAGCCAGAAACAAAACTAGAAAATGTACCAAAGGTTTATCTTTCAGCTCCATCCTCCCACAGAGATATGAGTAAGATTAAAGTGATGGCAGAAAGAGGACACAGTTAGTACCATTATCATTTCTAGTGGACATTTCTCTGACAAATAATACTTGGAAACCACATTATCATTAATGATGAATGAATCCTATGTCTAGAAAAGTTAATAAACAAGGCATTTCCTCAGTGAAAAGAGTTAAAGCAAACCACATAGGTGAAAGTAAAAAAGATAAAACTTTTGCATGCTGTTGCATTCCAGCAGGGAGTGGGTAGTTCCTGTGCATTTTCTCCCTGAAATAAACTTACATCATCCTCACTTGTATCATTTTGTAAATTTTTTTTGTAGAGACGGGGTCTCATTATCTTGCCAGGCTGGTCTCAAATTTCTGGGTTCAAGGGATCCTCCTGCTTCGGCCTCCCAAAGTGCTAGGATTACAGGCGTGAGCCACTGTGCCTAGCGGATTAATCCTTTAAAAAAAAAAAAGAGGGCCGGGCGCGGTGGCTCACGCCTGTAATCCCAGCACTTTGGGAGGCCGAGGCGGGTGGATCATGAGGTCAGGAGATCAAGACCATCCTGGCTAACAAGGTGAAACCCCGTCTCTACTAAAAATACAAAAAATTAGCCGGGCGCGGTGGCGGGCGCCTGTAGTCCCAGCTACTCGGGAGGCTGAGGCAGGAGAATGGCGTGAACCCGGGAAGCGGAGCTTGCAGTGAGCCGAGATTGCGCCACTGCAGTCCGCAGTCCGACCTGGGCGACAGAGCGAGACTCCGTCTCAAAAAAAAAAAAAAAAAAAAAAAAAAAAAAGAAAGAAAAATTGGCTGGACACGGTGGCTCATGCCTGTAATCCCAGCACTTTGAGAGGCCGAGGCAGGTGGATCACCAGAGGTCAGGAGTTCAAGAACAGCCTGGACAACATGGTGAAACCCTGTCTCTACTAAAAATACAAAAATTAGCCAGGTGTGGTGGCAGCCACCTGTAATCCCAGCTGCTTGGGAGGCTGAGGCAGGAGAATCACTTGAACCTGGGAGGCGGAAGTTGCAGTGAGCTGAGATGGCGCCACTGCACTCCAGCCTGGGTGACAGAGCAAGACTCCATCTCAAAATAAGTAAATAAATAAAAATAAAAAATAAAAAAAATTGTAGGTATTTTTAAATAGCCTTTCACTTTGCAATGAAGATGCTACCTATAACACAGACAGGTATAACCCTGCATTCCCCTTTCTGCTGCCCCATGTCTTGATTTTCCTTTAGACAAGCTATACTTCTGCTCCTCCCATTCACTCACCCCTTAGCCCACTGCAATCTGGCTGCCACTCCTTCTTCCCTGCTGGAAGCCTCTCTGGCCAAAATCAATAATGACCTCTTTGTTGCTAAATTCAATGGACACTTTTCTGTCCCCATCCTAACCAAAAGCTCTGCAGGATTTGACATGGTTGGCCACTCTCTTGCCCTTGAAAGTTTCTCCTCCCTTGGTTTCTATGACAACTCCTGGTTTTCCTCCTCTTTGGGCATTACCTTTCAGTCTGTTTCAGTCTATATACCCAGTCCTCAAATTAGTGATCACCAGGAATCTATCCTAAATTCTATTATATTCTTTCTTTATTCCTTTTCTTAATCTCACCCACTCTCACGGCTTCAACCCACATTCATTTGAAGATGACTCCCAAATCAATTTCTACAGATGAGACCACTCTCCTGATGCCTAGACCTTCTCAACAGCCAAAGGCCTATTGGGAAAGCTCTTCTAACTGTCCCACAGGCTCCACTCACTCAAAAATATCTAAAATGGAACCCATCCTCCCTCCCCATCCTCACCCTAATCTGTTCTTCCTGTAGTCCCTGCTTCAGCAATATGTCAAACAAGCCAGAAACCGTCAGATGTGTCTGACTCCCACCTGTCCCTTGTCCCTTATCCCACACTTTCAACAGCTTTCTAATCAATTCACTTCTTCTCTATCCCTACCACCAATACCCCTAGTTTAAGGTCTCAATCAGTTTTTATCTGAACCATGTCAACAGCCTCTGACTGGTTTCCCTACTCCAATCCATCCTCCATGAAAATATGGTAAAAATATGAACCTGAATGAATAATGTAAATTATTGCCATGTTTTCAGACACGACTGTGTAATATGGTTTCTGCTTACTTCTCCAGTTTATTCTTTTGCTGCTGCCCCCTTTCCACCCTTTTCAACAGTTCCGAGATCCCTCTTGCCAAGGCCTTCCATATATGCAGTTTCCTCAAAACCATCCTATCTTCCCTACTCCCACCCCAACCAGAACGCCCTTCATCTGGTTAATTCCTATTCATCCATTCTGCTTTAAATATCTTATTTAACAGATCCTAATGCAGTATTTATTGTGTTTTCATTTCATTTTATTTTGAGGACAGTCTCACTCTGTCACTCGGGCCGGAGTGCAGGGTATGATCATGGTTCACTGCAGCCTTGACCTCCTGGGCTCAAGCGATTCTCCCACCTCAGCCTCCCAAATAGCTGGGCCTACAGACATATGCCACCACACCTGGGTAATTTTTTTATTTTTTATTTTATAGAGACAAGGTCTAACTATGTTGCCAAGGCTGATCTTGACTTCCTGGGCTCAAGTGATCCTCCCACCTCAGACTCCCAAGTAACTGGGACTATAGGCATGTACTACTATGCTCAAGTAATTTTTTAAATTTTTGTAGGAACAGGGTCTCACTATGCTGCCCAGGCTGGTCTTGAACTCCAGGTTTCACACAATCCTTCTGTCTTGGCCTCCTGAACTGTCAGGATTACAGGCATGAGCCACTGTGCCCGGCGAATATTTATTGTGTATCAAGTACTGTTCTAAGGGCTGTATGAAAAATGAGGCACAGAAAGGTCAAGTAACTTGTCCAAGACCCATAGTCAACAAGTGGCAAAGCCAGGATTTGAACCTAGGCAATCTGGGTTACTAGGAAGATTTCTGTGCTCACACACCATCCAGTGCATACCTCTATCATAATGTTTAACTAACTACTGGATTTTCCTCCTCCCTTGTCTATCTCCCTCACAAAACAGTCAGCTTCTCAAAGGTATAAACTCTATCTTAGTTGTCTTTGAATGTCTAATTCTTACCCCAGGAACTCCGACTGAACATACAGACACTAAATGTCTACTGAATGAATGAATGAGTTAGCAAAAGGTCATAATGGATAAAGCAAACATTTCTAAAACTGTGTTCTTTAAAGAGATAAATAGGCACCCACCTCCTAAGAGTCTCCATACTTCTTTATTTGCAAGTCACTTAATATTATATTAATGCCTACAACCTCTTTTTTAAATGTTATGTTTTATAGAATCAGAATACTCAACAAAACAATAAAAGTAACCAAGCAAAGCTACCTTATGAGAGGGATGTCATACATTTTAAATTCACTAAAATAGCTTCATTTGATAAATTATTCTTTTTATTTTAGTGTAAAATTATAGTTAGAAATACTACCAGAGCCATGACAATAATTAGAATAGAAAAAGAATGCAACAGTTGACTATCTTCCCATCTAATGCTGATTAGTCACAGAGAGGAAATGCCAGTCTCAGAGCACATTTCTAACAACAACAACAAAAACGTGGCCAAGTACGGTGTCTCACAACTGTAATTCTAGCACTTTGGGAAGCTGAGTTGGGTAGATGGCTTGAGGCCAGGAATTCGAGATCAGCCTGGCCAATATGGCAAAACCCCATCTCTATTAAAAGCACAAAAATTAGTGGGGTGTGGTGGCCCATGCCTATAGTCGCAGCTACTCAGGAGTCTTAGACACAAGAATCACCTGAACCCAGGAGGTGGAGGTTACAGTAAGCCAAGATTGCGCTACTGCACTCCAGCCTGGGTGACAGAGCGAGACTGTCCCAAAAAAAAAAAAAAAAGTGTCTCACTCTGAATGAAAAGATGTCATATCCTCTTAATGGATAAAACTATATATAACAGAGATTAAAAGTCACTTTAGAGCACTTGTATGAGAGAACAGAGTATAAAATGAAGACGGTTCATATGCTATCTACACATGTGGCCTTCTGGGTCAACAGTGAACAGAACACCAGTAGTATAGTATCGTATTGGTCAATTACAGGTACTTAAATAGTGTCTACTACTTGCTGAAGATGTTACAGGTTTTTCAACAAAAGACTTTAATGTGCCATGAAAATTTAAATCATAGCACACATCTAGTACTTAATTTCTGTGACAAGGGAGCATTCTGACTTTGAACTCTTTGGCTAAGCCTCCTTTCGCCTTATGTATACTTTCACAGCACCCTCTTAGTTTCTTTCCAATTATCCTATTCCCTTCCTCTAAAATATTTGTCTCTTTCTTTTAAAATTATTGCTGATTTGTCCAAAGATTATCAGGGGAAAGGGTCCTGACTAAATGACATAAACTTATCCTGTCCCTAAGGCTGAATAAATAAATAAAGTAAATAGCCCAATGGTAAGAGGCTAGCTTGATGGTCAAACAGGCTGGTTTTCACATCTCAGCTCTACCATCACATACCATATGACTTTGGACAAATTACTTAAGCCTCTCTGTATCTCAGTTTCCTCATATGTAAAATGGAAATAATATTAGCAGAACAGTTGTAAGAATTAAATGAGATGATGTATGTAAATCGCTTAGCATGGTTCCTGAAACGTAAGTGCTCAATAAATGGAAAATATGGAGGTGAGTGGTTGCCTCAGACCTCACACCAGATTCTGAGCACTGCCACAGTATTTTGTATGAAAGGACTCTATCTGCATAAGATTCCAGGATTTTGGAGTTGTTATTGACTGTAAAGATCACCAAGTAAAATCTTCCATTTTAGAAATCTTTTCTAGGATTTCTTAAATCCTCCATGTCAAGCACTAGATAGGTAAATGAATTGGTTCAGTTTGCCTGTCTTGTTAATGAGAAAGCCACAGTCTTTTAAATAAAATTCTCTTCTGAATTTTATTTAAAAGACTCAAAAGTAATAATGAGTACAATCGAAATATCATTGTGTATCACTGTGAACATACATTCAAACTGTAGGTTAGTGTTCTCACTCACAAACGGGAGCTAAATAATGCATACCTATGGGCATAGAGTGGAATAATAGACACTGGAGACTCGGAGGGGAGGATGAGAGATGAGAAATCACCTAATGGGTAAAACAATGTACACTATTCAAGTGATGCTTACATTCAACGCCCAGATTTCACTACTACACAATATGTCCATGTAACAAAACTGCACTTGTCCCCCTCTAAATCTATTAAAAAATGAAAACTAAAAAAAAATCTATATGTTAGAAACCCATATTACACTTCGCCCTGAGTAAGCTAAACTGTTTCTGGTATAATATTGCCAACAAAGGAAAGCTCTCCATAGGTATACAAGGTATGTCATATATAGGACTCAGTTTTCTCTTCTGTAAAATGAGAATAATAATTATGTGATTCTCAGGACTATTATGAAGATGAAGTGAAGTGACATGTACAAAAGCACTTAGTACAGTGCTTCACTCTGATGTCTCAAAATTTACTGGGCTGATAATGATCTCTATTCTTCAGAGCAAATTCATCTACAGTGACATGAGTTTTCGACAAATCTTTTCCACTGCTGCCATTTAAAAAGCATACTTTGGTATAGAGCCCAGGATGTTTTGAAGAAAGCATGGCCTCAATGCTAATGGACTGGCTGTGTTCCAGCATCTTTTTGTTGGGAACTCTCCCTTGCAACCAAATGTTAAATACAGATCATAGGTGACCTTGATAAAACTACTCAAGAAGGCAAATTTGACATCTTTCTTTCTTATGCATAAAACTCCAGGGAGTTTCAAGGCCCAGTGGTAATGGCCTATGGAACACAAAGGGCAACACGCACAATTCCCTTTAGAACTTCCAATCCTTCCAATCTTATGCATAAGCCATCTGCTTAGAGTCACCTGAACAGTGAGAATTTAGAGTCTTCATGCTCAGGTTTCTGGAGTAAATTTATAAATACAATTAATGTGACATAGAAGGCATGCCCACGCACTGCATGACACTGTGTAAAGCCCCGTATCCAGTTCTTTGTCTCAGCAATCTGAGAGAATAAAGATCTTGCAGATGTGGGTTTCTGCCCCATTAAACAGGACTACATAATCTTGTGACTACATTACTGCCACGTACTCTACCCTGAACCCTAGAACACCACCTGGAATTATGTGGCTAGGTAGAATAGATGAGACTTTTTACAATAAAACACTGAAGAAAACAATTTTAAAAACATCTGGTTTCCAGGTCTTGCAAGTTGTCATATATTGTGTACAGAAGTTTAGGTAGATGGACATTCATGAATGAGTTGTTTAAAACTTTAGTCTCAAGCCCCATTCTCGGCAGTCTCTATGAAGATATACAGAGAATATACAGAACACCCACAGTTCCTTTGATAACTTGCAACAGTTCTCACTTTAAGTATTAAATGCCTCCTCAATCAATGTATGATACAATGTATCACTGGTTTAATCATTACAAAACAACTTGTAAAGAGGAAGTGACAGAATTTGACTCATCCAGTCACTGCAAGCTTTTAGAGTATGCCTTTGGTTCAGAAAAGAGTGGATAGATGGTCAATAGATCTTGGTAACTGACTTCTCTCACACCACATGGAATAGAAAAAAGATAGACGGAGCCTATAAATTCCTTGGGTTCAGTGTCTCCCTAAGAGCTCAGCTTAGTGATAACTTTATAGTAGACATTTAATTCTATACTAGTAGAAATTAAATTGATTTAATTCCTTTACTATTCATCTTCATATAAGAAATGTTACATATATGCATTTTATATGTAAATGTGATCTTACATGACTGTCAGTCTTTTTTCTTTCTTTTTTTTTTTCTTTTTTTGAGACAGAGTCTCACTCTGTCACCCAGGCTGGAGTGCAGTGGCACTACCATAGGTCACTGAATCCTCAACCTCTCAGGCTTAAGCCTCAGCCTCTAGAGTAGCTGGGACTACAGTCATGTGTCACCAGACCTGCCTAATTTTTTTAATGATTTGTAGAAACGGGGTCTCCCTATGTTGCCCTGGTTGGTCTCAAACTCCTGGGCTCAAGCAATCCACCCACCTCAGCCTCCCAGAGTGATGGGATTATAAATGTGAATCACCACGCCCAGTGGCTGTCAGTCTTAAAAACATATATGCTGATGTTCTTTGTGCTGGTATTGGCTCTTTATCAAGGTATTTTTGTGAATATGACTACACACACATTCCTTTTCTCCACATTTCCCTTCCCGATTCCCTGCCCACATTTTAATATGACTTTCAATTCAGGCAGGTCAGAATGAATCTATCCTATTTCAAAAATCCTAGAACTCTACACTGAATGACGGAAGGATGGATAAAGACACTCTTCACATAACACCAAGACTTTTAACACAATGAAGCTGGGTCTGGGACAAAAATGTATGGCCACAGTTGAAGAAGCCCCCTATGTCTTTGTTCTAGGATGTAAGTCTAAGAGGGAGTGGAGTTTACAGACATCATGTAGGACATAGGCTTACTTACTGAAGTCTGAGACTTTGGGGATCCTTAATCCTTAAGCCAATAAATAAGCAAGAGTATCATAATCTTCTGCCACGAAGTGTTTCTTAAATATATGAGCAGTTCAGGAGTTTGAGGCTGCACTGAGTTATGATCACCACTGCACTCCAGCCTGGGCAACAGAGTGAGACCCTGTGTCTAAGAAAAAAAGAAAAAAAATTATATATACATTTTAGGTTGGTGCAAAAGTAATTGTGGTTTTCAGTTCAAGACATTGTGGCAAGTGACTGGACAGGAAAAACTGAGTCTTCCTGCTGTGTGAGAGAGGTTCTTCTCTTCCCTTGGGGTGAATTATGTTTGTCACTCTGTACATTTTCAGGTCTTTTTTTTTAGGATTATAAAACTATAATCATAGTAATCTGGCAGAGAATTCCCATAGGGGTTGGGAAGGAGGATGCTTGAGTGATTAGTCACCAAAGAGAGCCCAAAGAAGTGGACAGAGCTGGTAAACTGGTGAGAGAGCCTCAGGCATTCACCAGATTCAGAAGATTGCAATCATCTCTTTTGGCAAATGAATATAGAACATTTTTCTCCAACAGAAAGAAGAGCTTAGCCGATGTACCAGAAAGAGACATAAGATTTGAAAACAGAAAAAGGGGATCATGTTTCCATCTGATCTCGGAGGAAACAAATGTGGAACAGGCAAGATGTAAACAAGATGTATTAGTTTTTTATCGGTGCATAACAAATCACCAGAAATTTAGCAGCTTAAACCATCACTCATTTATCAGTTCACAACTCTTTAGGTCAGAAGTCTGGTATGGCATGGTTGAGTTTTCTGCTCAGGGAATCACAAGGCTGAAATAACAGTGGCAACCAGATTGAGTTCTCATCTGGAGGCTCTAAAAAAGTTCTGCTTCCAACCTCATTCTTCCTGGCAAAATTCAGCTCCTTGTAGCTGTAGAATTGAGGTCCCCATTTCCTCTCTGGCTGGCAAACAAGGGCCACTCTCAGCTAAAAAAATTCCTTGCTACGTAGCTGCCTCCATCTTCAAGCCAGCAAATCCTTCTCCTGCTTCGTCTCTGACTTCCCGTCTCTGACCTCTAGACCCAGATTTAAAGGGGTTATGTCATTAGGTCAGATCCACTCAGATAATGTCACTGCTTTATGGTCAACTGATTTGGGACCTTAACTACATCTGCAAAATCCTTCCACAGCAGTATCTAGATAACGTATGGCTAAATACCTGGGAGAGGGTGTGTGTACAGCAGGGCCGGGAATCTTGGGGGCCATTTTAGAATTCTGCCTACCACAGGAGACACCTGTTATCAGGGCTTGTGGTTTCATGTGAGACCATGGCTTTCTAGCTTAGAAAGATAAAGAACCAGTACAAACCAAAGCACTTAGAGATAAGTGGGTCTTAGACAATGCCAGAGCTTTTAAGGCTCTGGATTCACAGAGAAACACAGAAGGCGTATGTCTTTGTCTAATGTTCATCCTATGATACCCAACAGAGTCAGGAATGAGGCAGGAGGGGACTTCGAGCTGGTTGTTCCCATAAATTTTGCCAGCACATAGAAAGCACATAGTAGGATGCTAAGTAAATACTTGTTGAATAAAAGAACTAAGCCCATTTGAAGGCAAGCATTAATTAACATTAGAATCACAAATCTGAACTCAGCATATTCTGTGCTTTTTTCTTTCTTCTGTCTCCCTAAATCTGCAGGAAGATGTCCAGGGCCAAGTTTTTCCCCACTCTCTACCAGGATATTTAGAGTGATCAGTGTGCCTCTGATGGGCAAGCAGCCAATGAGAGACAGTACTGCAGGAGGGACACTCAAGGACAGCTGTCTTGATGATCCCTTTCCACTGCAGCTTCAGCTCAAAACTTGCCCTCCCTTTTGCATTATAATTAACCAAATTTAGGCCGTTAGAGATAAGGAAAGAGAGAAGTAATGTTATTTGAACTTCTCCTATGTGTCAGATATATTACATAAGCTCGTATTTAATTCTCATAGTAACCCTATGAAATGGGTATTATTTCAAATGAGGAAATGATAGTACAGAGATGGCATTTGAACCTGGGTATTCCAGACCCCAAGACCTAAACATTGTACTAATCTTGTTCCATGCATTGCTAACTTTTACACCTGTGATGATTTTTTTCACTGCCTTTTAAGTTTAGGGTCATCTTTCACCTATCATATCTTTCTTGTTTTTTAGAGATGAGGTCTTACTATGTTGCCCAGGCTGGAGTGCAGTGACTATTCACAGACATGATCATGGTGCACTACAGCCTCAAGTTCCCGGTCTCAGGTGATCCTCCTGCCTCGGCCTTCGGAGTAGCCCCACAGGCATGCACCACCACGTCAGCATCATCTAACATTTTTTAGAGCCACTCTTCTTACTTGAACCCTGAATTCCCAGCTTGACCAATCCCTGCTGAGGTACTGTCTTTCCAACTATCAGCATAGAACAGTTTTTACTTTTACTTCTGCTGAGCTTATTTCCAAGTGACTGCTAGAGGACCCAATAAGACTACTGATATTGTTCAACTAGGTTTGTGTACCTGGAAAATGTCCTCTGAATCCTAGCACATTAACATTTTCTTTGAGGATACAGAAAATAACAATAACAAAAAACCTAAGCTTGATATTTTTCTGCTCAATCAAGTTCTTCCCCACCCTCAGGACCCCTCAACACATTTTGGACACATTTTGCAGAGCCAAGCAAGCCAACCCAAGGGATTTATACTCACTTACCCTTAGGATTTGTGGTCTATGTTGTGAAGTAAAAACCCCCACTAAAAAGGCAACTTTACTGAGAGAGAAATGAAACCAACACCAACTCATATGTCATTTTGTTGTATGGTCAGTCTCTCAGTGTGCACTACACTGTATCAGCATTAGGGAAAATTAAGTGAGAAAAACATTACAACAGCCCAGGGACACTTCTACCTAAATTTTGTGATTACATTTTAAGTGCTCTCTGTCACAGATATCATAAACTGATTAAATCATTTCATGCCTGACCCCTACTGACTATGCTAAGTGAAAAGAGAGGGCTATTAATAACTACCCATTTCTGACAGCTGCCCAGGGGCAACGCAGCCTTTTGCAGCAGTGAAATGACTCCCCAGCTCACTTACTGAATGCTGAATATTGATTCATATTATGAGTGTTGTCAAACACAAGAGTGCAGTGCTGCAGATCCGTAGTGGCAGGTCATCAGGAATAGCATTAGCAAATGTCAGGTCAGGAATCAAAGGCCTGCTGGACTCTTTAGGGATGAGATTTATCGATTCCATAAAACGTGAAACAGATCAAGTACTTGTGATGATGGAAATGGTCGTGGCAGAATGAGGCTGAGCCTGCTCTGATGTAGACCTCAGGAGAGATGCATCACACAAGTGACCACTGAAGAAAATGCTAAAAGTTGGAATTTCCAGGACAAGGCCAACAGCGGCTTTGGGCTAAGAAGGAGATTTTAGGGCTAAATGTCAGAACTTAGATGTGAAATTGGTCATAGGTATAGGGGTATGTGCATGTATGTGTGTGTGTGTGTGTGTGTGTGTGTGTGTGTGTGTGTGTGTGTGTGTCCTAGCAGTCTAAGATAGCCAGATCCAAAAGAATATGATCAGATACTGATGAATGTTATAGACAAAAGATAACTCTCTATATAAAAGATGCAATTTGCTAATCTTACCTCTTACATAAAATTTTTAAGAGAAATTTACTTACAGTTTATTTTTTCTATTCTTTAGTCTTACTTAAAGTCTAAATTTTCCTCTGATAAGAGAAGGCAAAAAATATTAGAATCTTATAGCTTGTTCATCAAAGGATCACTGTAGACTTGTTTTAAATGAGTTGATGATCCCTCCTTTTGAAGATACTTAAATTATATCTGGCTTCTAGATTTTCATCATTAGAATTAATTTTTTAATCAAAGGCTCCCATACTGTCACTCCACTCTTGTATTATTCTACAAGGTGTCCATTAAAACTGTGCCTTCATAATCCCCTTCTCCCCTCCGGTATCTTCATCTTGATATAGTTAAAAAAAAAAAAAAAAAGACCGAGTCTAGAAGTTAGAACACCGGATTCTTCTAATCCTTACTCTGCCACTTATCTTGTGACCATAGACAAGTCACAACCTCCCTGTATCTCAACTTCCTCACCAGCAAAAAAAACAAAAACAAAAACAAAACAAAACAAAACAAAAACTGCATGTGTACTAGCTCTGAGAAAGGTTTTATACAGAGGATCAATAATAGACCATAAGTTCCACGAGGAAGAGCAGGGTACATGTATTATGACTCATTTTGATGTTCTCAATGCCTAGTAAAGAGACAGGCTCAGAGTAGTAACTGATTTTTTAATTTAAATAAAAGATGGATATACTTGGGGACTGTAAAGGTTTACTAAGTTTTATGTTTCTCTTATTATATGTTTATTTGCTAAGTGTAGTACTTGGTCTAGCATCACTGGGAATGTTTTGGAACTCGCATTGCTAATGGTGGTTTGCAGAAGCAATCCTTTCACCTCTCCTAAGAGCAGGACACAATGTTTTCTTTAATTTTGCCCCATACCGTGACAGAGCCTTGAGGTCTATGTAAGGGAAAGCTAGCAGCTGCTAAGTTCTAATTCTGTTTATTATATCTGAATAGGTAAATGTAAGTTGGTTGTCATCTAAAGCTTGAAAGAGTTTCTGCTCTCTATGGAAAATTTGCTGTTTGGACCAGTGTATTATGTCCTCATTGATTAGCTTTTATCTAAAAAGTAAATTTCAGAAAATTAAACAAAATTATTCTTTAAAAAATTATTTATAATAACCTAGTCATCATTGGATTACATCAGATAATTCTACCTCTTAAATAAAATTTTTAAAGGAAATGTACTTACAGTTTATTTTTTCTATTCTTTAGTCTTAAAGTCTAAATTTTCCTCTGATAAGAAAAGGCAAAAAATATTAGAATCTTATAGCCTGCCCATCAAAGAATCACTCTAGTCTTGTTTTAAATGGGTTGATGAGAGAAAATGAACAGGTGCTACAGATTACTTGGCTGATCTAAAATTAAAGATTGATATTTTTCCTCTTGTTCTATTAGCAGACCTTTAGTGACATGTTAGCACTGGATAATGGTTGCAGCAGTTTAAGCCTCATGCTGTGATTTTTAACAGAAAGCCTAGCTACAGCAGCAAACAATGACATCTCCCCAAAGCTAGTAACCTAATAAGGAAGCAGTTGCAGCCTTAGGCAGTTTGACTAAACAGCAAGAGAAATCTGACTTCCAATGTACTGACTCCACTTTAAAGACAATGGCCTGGCTTAATTAACACTGTATTCATTTGTAACTCAATCAATTGTAGAATTTTTGTCCTTTAACCATTGACTCTACCAGCTCAAAAAGAAAAAGAAGGCTCAAGCTGCTGGAAGTCTTGATTTGTATAAACAGGCATTTCTGAACCAGTGACAAAATAAATAACCCTTGGCATTAATTGCTAACTTTCCCAAATGTCCAGGTAATCACTGAAATAATCATTGACACAGGAAAAGAATTTCATTGACTATTTTAGGTATAAACATGGGATGTATTTAACATAATACCAAAATTTAAATGTTTTTCTCATACTCCTCTTTTGGGGAGCACTAAATTAAGAACATTAAGCCTACTCAAAAACGTCTTTTTCAAATTATTTTTCCAAGAGTAGTATAGTAGATTTTTGTCCAGAAAGTGTATGGAATCTCATAAACTTCATTTGACCTATCTTAGCCCCTGAGCTTTGGTTAAACCAATATTTGCTACCTTCTGAACAGAAACTAAAATAAATGCTAACTCGACCAGGTTATCCTACATTAACTTTGATTTTCTAAATACATCTGTCAACAGACAATGAAAGTTAAATAGATAAATGCTACTAAAATAGTATTCTGGCTTTCATAAGTGAGGATACAATTTCCAGAGAAATAAAATACATGATTACTACATTACATCAACTATGTTGTGTAAAAATTTGGTATTTTCTAATTTTCTATCTTGTAAAACCAACCACCTAGCTTTCCTGAAAATCCTTGCATTCTCAAAAATTATGCACCAAAAAATAATAATATGGCTTATAAGAAAAATAGGGTTGGGTTGGACCACTCAAAACTCTACCCGGCACATAAAGAAAAATAATAACAATACTAATAAAAATACTAGCATAGTTAATCTCAGCTGATGTTTACATTCAGCACCACAGTCAGTTCTTTGTAGCCTTAATCCTGGGGGCTCATTCTTCCTCCTTCTAGATATAGGTCCCACAGGGCATTTGATTCTAAAGAGACTATTTTATATTAAAATTAAAAGCATAACTAATCCAGAACAGAGCTCTCTTTATTAATTCATTGCTTTAATACAGGGAAATGTCTTTGCATCCTTTTCATTTGTGCTGGTGGCTACACTTACACGGCAGAAATCATACTGGAAGAAATAGAGGCTCTAAAAGGCACTAAATGAGCCACTATTTACACTAAAAGAAGGCACTTCTGTAGATTCTCAGCTTTTCTCTTAAGGTCTTCAGTAAGTAATGAGATTTCTCTTTAATTGGGAGAAAGTGTGCCCCAGTTGCTTCAAAGCATTAATTTAAAAAGCAGGAAAATCACATATAAATGAACATAATTTCCAGGTTATTCCTACTTTATTCCCCTAGTTAAAGATACTAGTAAACGATAATTTGCATCTAAGAAGCTATATGATACTTAAACTCGGTTCTCTATTTTAATAAGTAAGTATAACTGTTAAAAGCTTAATAATAGTGAGGAATGGAGGATGAAGGGAAGTAAAGTCTAAGCTCTCTAACCTGACACCCAGGATCTCCCGCCATCTGACCTAAATTAGTCTAGGTTTCCAGTTTTATCTCCCACACACAGCTCACCAGATGAAGCCATTCTGGGATGATCTTTTATCTGGTCTCTGTCTTAAGTACCCCATAACTGCTATCCTGAGACCCCAGTTTCTCGGAATACTGTCCCTGCTTCTAGGCCTGACAGTGGTTCTGCCTCTTCCAGGAAACCTCCCCTCTCCCTCTTCCTTCTTTCTCTGACCTCTTCTTATCTTGCAACTAACTCATTTAGATCTTTCTATATAATGCCTTGAATTGCCAGCCAAGTTTCTTTACACATGTATAGAAATATATACATATATGGAGAGAGAAAGAGAGAGAGAGAGAGAGAGTGTGTGTGTGTGTGTGTGTGTGTGTGTGTGTGTGTGTGTGTATGTGTATGTGTCTTACCTCCTGAGTTAGACTCTAAGCAACTTGAGTGGAGGTCTTTGCTGTCAGCATCTTCTATTTTTTTTGTTGCAACACCCAAATGCCTAGCAGTGTTTATGCATGGAAATATCTCAGTAAGTACTGGTTTGAGAATTTTCCAGTTGATTTTTGGGGGCCCTATATGGAAAACATTTATTTGTACAATGACAACTCTATGCTTGCTGCATAAACTCCAAATGACTTGAAAGAAATTATGTGCCTCCTTAAGCACCAAACAGTATCTGAAAATAATTTATGTTCACAGGGGAAGACTTAGATTTGAGCTGACTATACTGTTAGAGACAAAGATATGGCCTTTTTTTTTTTTTTTTGAGACAGAGTTTCACTCTTGTTGCCCAGGCTGGAGTGCAATGGCACGATCTCGGCTCACCGCAACCTCCGCCTCCCGGTTTCAAGCGATTCTCCTGCCTCAGCCTCCCAAGTAGCTGGGATTTACAGGCGCGTGCCACCATGCCCGGTTTAATTTGTATTTTTAGTAGAGACAGGGTTTCTCCATGTTGGTCAAGTTGGTCTCAAACTCCTGACTGCAGGTGATCTGCCTGCCTCAGCCTCCCAAATGCTGAGATTATAGGCGTGAGCCATCGTGCCCGGCCGATATGGCTGTTTTTACAGCTTTTCTGAAGTAATAGTCTTAGTAAAAATATATATGTATCCTTTTTTTTTTTTTTTTGAGACAGAGTTTCACTCTGCCACCCAAGCTGGTGTTCAGTGGCACACTCATGGCTCACTGCAGCCTCAACCTCCTGGGACCCAGTGATCCTCTTACCTCAGCCTCCCAAGCAGCTGGGACTACAAGGATGCACCACTATGCGCAGCTAATTTTTGTATTTTTTGTCAAGATGGGATTTCACCATGTTACCCAGGCATATATATATGTATCCTTCAACAGTAAAAATTCAGTGAGGTAGCAGGATATAAAATTATATTCAGAAACTGATAGCCTTCAAATACTGTACATACATAATAACCGGAAAACTTCCTTTTAATAGCAACAAAGATAATAAAATATAGATAAACATAAAAAGAAATGGCAAAACCTAAGTGAGGAAAATTTTTAAAGACTTCTGAAAGCCCCAAGAGTAGACTTGAACAAATGGAAAGACATCTCCTACTATAAGACAGAATGACTCAACAGCATAAAGATGTCTATTCTCTCTAAGCTAATTTATAAATTCAATGCAATCTCAATAAAAATATCACTTTTTTTAAAATGGAACTAAGTTGGTACTAAAGTTCATATGAAACAACAACATGCAAGTTTAGTCAGGAAAATACTGATAATGAAAACCTATGAGATGGGACTAGCCATACTGTCATTAAAACATTAAGCTTCTATAACTAAAACATTGTGATACTGGCACACAAATAGACTGACCAATAGAATAGAACAAAAGGTACAGAAATATACCCATGTACATATAGAAATTAGTATATAATAAAATGACATGTCAAATCATTGAGACAAAGATGAACTTTTTGGTAAATGATGCTAGGATAATTGCTGAGCCATTTGGAAAAAATGTAATTAGACACATATCTTACATCATGCATAAGAATAAACTTCAAATGGATCACAGATCCACATATATAAATATAAATTTTTTTAGCTTTGTCCCCTCTGGGGGCCTAAAAGCAATTACATCTCAGTAACAATGAGTATATCTAGAACCCATATCTGAGTTTCTTTTTTGAGATAGGGTCTTGCTGTGTTGCCCAGGCTGGAGTGCAGTGGCACAATGACAGCTCACTGCAGCCTTGCCCTTCCAGGGTCCAGCGTTCCTCCCACCTCAGCCTCCCAAGTAGCTGGGACTACAGGCATGTACCACCATGTCCGGCTAATTTTTGTGTTTTGTTTAGAGATGAGGTTTTGCCATGTTGCCCAGGCTGGTCTTGAACGCCTGAACTCAAGGGATCCGCACACCTCGGCCTCCCAAAGTGCTGGGATTACAGGCATGAGCCACTGGCCTGGCCTCGTATCTGAGTTTTTAAATAACACTTTCCACTAAAAAGAATCAATGTTCCCTGGAGGACTCACTGGTTCCATGGCTATGTCAGAGAAAGTACAAGATGATCCTGGAACACACTGTTGTATTAGAAAGTTAAAAAGTACACAAAGAATGGTAAGATAAAAGGACAAAGGGACCAGCTTGAAGGGGTTCTCACAGACAAAATCTGGGACAATTTGAACATCAAAATAAATAATGAAAGCAAAGATTTTAATCCACTGAATAACACAGGAATCAATTAATCCATACTAAAACATATGTACATATATATATATGTATATACATATATAAGAGAGGGAAAATGGGAAGCCTCTCCTTATAACAGAATGCCAATTAATGAATGTAGAAGGGACAATTTGGCAACAATTATATTAATAATTGATTTGGGCATGATTATTTGTCAATGTATGCTAAAACTGAAAGTTTAATGAGGAACAATATGTTTCAATAGTTTCAAAGTATCGCCTCATGATTGCTTATTAGTTATAAAAAGAAAAACAGTAACTTTACACTGGAAAACCTGGAAGCCATCACCTTTGTCATCACCAATTGATCACAGTCAAGATCACCAATAATGAGACACATCAATGTCATTCCCTGATATGACATGCCAATAAAGTGCATCATCATTTCTGGTAATATGCTTGCCAAAAGTGCCTAACCCGCATATGGTCATGAGAAAACAGAAGACAAACCCAGAATGAAGGACATTCAACAAAATAACTGGCCTCCTCAAAACTGTCAATGGCAAAAGAGACCAAAGAAAGGCTGAGGAACTGTTCAAAGTTAAAAGAGAGTAAATAGACACAACAAGCAAAGGAAAGGCATGATTGTGAACTGGACACTAGCATAAGAAAAATAGCTATAAAGACTATCATTGAGGCAATTGATGAAATCTGAATATGGTTTAAGGATTAGATCACAGTTTTGCACCAACATCAAATTTCCTGATTTTGATAATTGTACTGTGGTTACATAAGAGGAAATTCTTGTTCTTAGAAAATTCACACTGAAATACTTTTAAGTAAAGGGATATCATGTCTGCAACTTACTTGCAAATGGTTCAGAAAAACAATATAGACAGATTAAAATAGATTTAAAAGATATAAAGAGATATAGAGAAGTTTTTTGGGTTTTTTTTTTTTTTTTTTGAGACTTCTGGAGTACAGTGGCACAATCTTGGCTCACTGCAAACTCCACCTCCTGGGTTCAAGTGATTCTCTGGCCTCAGCCTCCTGAGTAGCTGGGATTACAGGCATCCGCCACCATGCCAGGCTAAGTTTTTGTATTTTCAGTAGAGATGGGGTTTCACTATGTTGCCCAGGCTGGTTTCGAACTCCTGAGCTCAGGCAATCCACCCACCTCGGCCTCCCAAAGTGCTAGGATTACAGGCGTGAGCCACTGCGCCTAGCCGAGAAGTATTATATACATACACACACACACACACACACACACACACACACACACACACACACAGACACACACACAGAAAGAGAGAGAAAGAAAAGTGTAGATGCAAATAATTGGTATACCAATTATTTGGTATATAATAAATGGGACAGATGTAATAATTGGTATTATTATAAAGGGCATACAAGTGTAAGTAAATGGTATGCAACTTTTCCTTGGGTTTGAAGCTAAAAAACTTTTTTTAAATGATTATTTGAATAGCTTTGGGGGTACAAGTGGTTTTTGGTTACATGGTTGAATTCCACAGTGGTGAACTCTGAGATTTTAGCACACCCATCACCCTAGCAGTATATATTGTGGCCAATATGCAGTCTTTTATCTATCACCCCCACCCCAACCTCTCCTCCTGAGTCCCTGAAGTCCATTATATCACTCTGTATCTTTGCATTCTCATAGTTTAGTTCCCACTTATAAGTGAGAATAAACCATATTTGGTTTTCCATTCCTGAGTTAGTTCACTTAAAAAATGGCCTCCAACTCAATCCAAGTTGCTGCAAAAAACATTATTTCATTCCTTTTTATGGCTGAGTAGTATGCCATGGTGTATATATACTACATTTTCTTTTTTCTTTTCTTTTCTTTTTTTTTTTTGTTTTTGAGATGGCGTCTCGCTCTGTCGCCCAGGCTGGAGTGCAGTGGCACAATCTTGGCTCACTGCAACCTCCACCTCCCGGGTTCAAGCAATTCTCTGCCTCAGCTTCCCGAGTAGCTGGGATTACAGGTGCCCACAACCACACCTGGCTAAATTTTTGTATTTTTAGTAGAGACAGGGTTTCACCATCTTGGCCAGGGTGGTCTTGAACACCTGACCTCGTGATCCACCCGCCTCGGTCTCCCAAAGTGCTGGGATTACAGGTGTGAGCGACCACGCCCGGCCACATTTTCTTTATCTGCTCATTGATTGGTGGGCACTTAGATTGGTTCCATATCTTTGCAATTTGGAACTGTGCTGCTATAAACACATGTGTGCATGTGCCTTTTTCATATGATTTCTTTTCCGTTGGGTAGATACCCAGTAGTGGGACTGCTGGATTGAATGGTAGATCTACTTTTAGTTCTTTAAGGAACCTCCATACTGTTTTCCATAGAGGTTGTACTAATTTACACAGCACAGTGGTTCACGCCTGTGATCCCAACACTTTGGGAGACCAAGGCAGGAGAATCACTGGAGTCCAGTAGTTCAAGAACAGCCAGGACAACATTGCAAGACTCTGTTTCTACAAAATATAAAAAATTAGCTGACCGTGTTGGCACATGCCCGTAGTACCAGCTACTTGGGAGGCTGAGGTGGGAGGATCACTTGAGCCCTGGGGTCGAGGCTGCAGTGAGCCATAATTGCACCATTGCACTCAGCCTGAGTGACAGAAATGAGATCCTGTCTCAGAAAGAAAGAAAGAAAAAAAAAAGAGTTCCCTTTTCTCTCCATCCTCACCAGCATCTGTTATTTTTTGTCTTTTTAATAACAGCCATTCTAACTGACGTAAGATACAACAATATCTCATTGTGGTTTTCATTTGCATTTCCCTGATGATTAGTCATGTGAAACATTTGTTCATATACCTACTGGCCATTTGTATGTCTTCTACTGATAAATGTATATTCATGTCCCTTCTCACTTTTTAATGGAACTGTTTGTTTGTTTGTTTTACTGTTGAGTTGTTTGAATTCCTTGTATATTCTGGATATTAGTCCCTTGTCAGATAAATAGTTTGCAAATATTTTCTCCTATTCAGAAGGTTATGCCTTTATTCTGTTGATTGTTTCCTTTGCTGTGCAGAGGCTTTTTAGTTTAATATTGTCCCATTTGTACATTTTTGTTTTTGTTGTCTATGCTTTGGAGGTCTTAACTATAAAATCTTTGCCTAGACCAGTGTCCTAAACTGTTTCCCCTATGTTTTCATCTAATAGTTCCATAGTTTGGGATCTGATATTTAAGTCCTTAATCCATCTGGAGTTGGCTTTTTGGTACGTGGAGAGAGATATGGGTCCAGTTTCATTCTTCTGCATATAAATATCCAGCTTTCCCAGTACCATTTATTGAGGAGACTGTCCTACTAATGTATATTCTTGTTGCCTTTGTCAAAAATCAGTTGGCTGTAAATATGTGCATTTACTTCTGGGTTCTCTATTCTGTTCCATTGGTCTATACGTCAATTTTTATACTGATACCATGCTGTTTGGGTTACTATATCCTTGTAATATACTTTAAAGTCAGGTAGTATGATGCCTCCAGCTTTGTTCTTTTTGCTCAGGATTGGTTTGCCTATTCAGGCTCTTTTTTGGTTCCATACAAATTTGGGGATTATTTTTTCTATTTCTACGAAAAATAACGTTGGAGGCCAGGTGTAGTGGCTCACACCTGTAATCCTAGCACTTTGGGAGGCTGAGGCGGGTGGATCACTTGAGGTCAGGAGTATGAAACCAGCCTGGCCAACATGGTGAAACCCCATCTCTACTAAAAATACAAAAAAAATTAGCTGGGCACGGTGGCGGGCACCTATAATCCCAGCTACTTGGGAGGCTGAGGTAGGAGAATCACTGGAACCCAGGAGGCAGAAGTTGCAATGAGCCAAGATCACACCACTGCACTCCAGCCGGGGCAACAGAGTGAGACTCCACCTTAAAAAAAAAAAAAAAGTTGGTATTTTAATAGGGACTGCATTGAATCTACAGATTTCTTTGGGTAGTATGGTCATTTTAACAATATTAATTCTTCTGACCCACAAACATGGAATATCTTTCCATTTGTTTGTGTTCTGTTCAATTTCTTTCATCAGTACTTTATACTTTTTCTAATACAGGTCTTTCACTTCCTTTGTTAAATTTATGTCTAGATATTTTCTTTGCAGCTATTGCAAATGAGATTACTTATTTGATTTCTCTTTCAGCTAGTTCATTATTGGTGTATAGAAATGCTACTGATTTTGTATGTTGATTTTGTATCCTGCAACTTTACTGAATTTAACAGTTTAATGAGTTTTTTGGTGGAGTCTTTTGGTTTTTCTAAATATAAAATTATTTTTGTCTGCAAAGAACAATGTAACTTTCTCTTTTCCAATCTGGATGCTTTTAATTCTTCCTCTTGCCTGATTGTTCCTATGTTGAATAGGAGTGGTGAAAGTAGGCAACCTTGTCTTATTCTAGTTCTTACAGGAAAGGATTTCAGCTTTGCCCCCACTCAGTATGATGTTACATGGGCTTGTCATATATGGCCTTTATTATGTTGATGTATGTTGCTTCTAGAGCAAGTTTGCTGAGAGTTTTTATTATGAATGGGTGCTGAATTTTATCTAATGCTTTTTCTGTGCCTATTGAAATGGTCATATGATTTTTGTCCTTCATTCTGTTGGTGTGATGAATCACGTTTGTTGATTTGCATATATTGAGCAATCTTTGCATCCCTGTTTTAAATCCCACTTGATCATGGTGTATTATCATTTTGATGTGCTGTAGAATTCAGTTTGTTAGAATTTTGTTGAGAACCTTTGCACCTATGTTCATCAGAAATATTGGCCTGTAGTTTTTGTTGCTGTTGTTTTGTTCTTGACTGGTTTTGTTATCAGGGTAATGCTGGCCTCATAGAACAAGTCGGGGAGTATTCCCTCCTCTTGCATTTTTTGGAATGGTTTGAGGAGTGAGTCCTTCTTTATACATTTGGTAGAATTAGGCAGTGAAGCCATTAATCCTGGGCTTTTCTTTGTTGGGAGACTTTTTATTACTGATTCAATCTCATTACTTGTTATTGGTCTATTCAGGTTTTCTATTTCTTCCTGATTCAATCTTGGTAGGTTGTATGCCCCAGAATTTATGCATTTCCTTAAGGTTTTAAAGTTTGTTCGAATACAGTTGTTCATAATAGCCTCTGATATCTTTTGTATTTCTGTGGTATCAGTTGTAATATCTCCTTTCTCATTTCTGATTTTATTTGGGTCTCTCTCTCTCTCTCTCTCCCCCTCTCCCCTTTGGTTATAGCAATTTTTGGTTATAGCCATTTATCAACTTTATATGTTAAAAAAGCCAACTTTTCATTTCACTGATCCTTTTTATTGTTTTCTTTGATAATCTCTATATTCTTTAGTTCTGATTTGATCTTTATTGTTTCTTTCCTTTTAGTAATTTTAGGTTCGGTTTGTTCTTGCTTTTCAAGTTCCTTGAGGTGCATTGCTAGATTATTTATTTGAAATCTTTCTACTTTTTTGATGTAGGCATTGAATGCTATAAACTTCTCTTAGCACTGCTTTTGCTGTATCCTGAGGATTTTGTTATGTTGTGTTTCCATTTTCATTTAAGATATTTTTTGATTTTCATGTTAATTTCTTCATTTAGTCAATGGTCATTCAGGAGCACGTTGTTTAATTTCCATATATTTGTATAGTTTTCAAATTATTGTTGATTTCTATTGATTTCTAGTTTAATTGTGATCTGAGAAGATACTGATAGGATTGCTATTCTTAAAAATTTATTGAGATTTGTTTTCTGGCCTAACATATGTTCTATCCTGCAGAATGTTCAATATAATGATGAGAAGAATGTGCACTCTGGAGCTGTTGGGTAAAATGTTGTATAAATGTCTATAAAGCCCATTTGGTATAAAGTCCAGTTTAAACCCAATGTCTCGTTGTTGATTTTCTGTTTGGATGATCTGTCTAATGCTAGTTGCATTAGACGATGAGTGGAATACTGAATTCCCAACTATTATTGTATAGGAAGTCTATCTCTTTATTTAGGTCTAGTAATATCTGCTTTATAATCTGGGTGCTCCAGTGTTGGGTGCATATATATTAAGAATTGTTATATCCTCTTGCTGAAGTGATTCCTTTGTCATTATATAACTTTTCTTTGTGTCTTTTTACTGTTTTGACTTAAAGTCTGTTTTATGTAAGTATAGCTATTCTTGCTTGCTTTTGGTTTCTGTTTGCATGGAATATATTTTTCCATCCCTTTACTTACAGTCTATACATGTCTTTACAGGTGAAGTGAGTTTCTTGTAGGCAGCATATAGTTAGGTAATGTTTTGTAATTCATTCAGCCAGCCTCTATGTTTTAAGTGGAAAATTTAATCCACTTACATTTGAGGGTATTATTGATATGCTCCTGTTATACTGTTAATTGTGTTCTGAATGTTTTATATATTCTTTGTTCCTTTCTTCATCTCTTATTGTTTATCATTGTGGTTTAGTGTTTTTCTTTAGCGGTAACATTTGAGTCCTTCCTCTTCCTCATTTGTGTGTTTGCTTTACCAGTGAGCTTTATACTTCCACATGTTTTCACAATGGTAGATAACCTTTCACTTCCAGGTTTAGGACACCCTTAAGTATTTCTTCTAGGGCCTAGTGGTAATGAATTCTGTCAGCTTTTGCATGCCTGGGAAAGAATTTATTTCTCCTTCATTTATGAAGAATAATTTTGCCAGATATAATATTCTTGGCTGGATGGAGTGGCTCATGCCTGTAATCCCAACACTTTGGGAGGCCAAGGCAGATGGATCATTTGAGGTCAGGAGTTCAAGACCAGCCTGGCCAACATGGTGAAACCCTGTCTCTACTAAAAATACAAAAATCAGCTGGGTGTGGTGGTGGGCACCTGTAATCCCAGCTACTTAGGAGGCTGAGGCAGGAGAATTGCTTGAACCAAGGAGGCAGAGGTTGCAGTGAGCCAAGATCACACCATTGCACTCCAGCCTGGGCGACAAAAGAGAAACTCTGTCTCAAAAAAAAAAAAATCTGTTATTAATTATTTTTTAATGAGATTACTGGATTTGCCCCTCAGAAAAAAGATGCAGTTATCTGCCATCTTAAAGTTGTATTTCTAACACAGATATGTGATCTATTACTCCGTTTAAAAATCTTTAGGTCAGGAGCGGTGGCTCATGCCTGTAATCCCAGCACTTTGGGAGGTGGAAGTGGGTGAATCACCTGAAGTCAGGAGTTCGAGGCCAGCCTGGCCAACATGACGAAACCCCGTCTCTACTAAAAAATACAAAAATTAGCCGGGTGTGGTGGTGCATGCCTGTAATCCCAGCTACTCAGGAGGCTGAGGCAGGAGAATCGCTTGAACCTGGGAGACGGAGGTTGCAGTGAGCTGTGATCACACCACTGTACTCCAGCCTGGGTGACAGCGAGACTCTGTCTCAAAAAAAAAAAAAAACTTTAATGGCATACAGTTACCTTCATGATAAAAGTAAAATTGTTTAACATGATCTTATGAAGTCCTCATAAATTTTTTCAGCTTCATTATTTCCATTTTGTGCCTCCCTTACAAATGTGCCTTACTGGTGAAGTCTTTTCTGGCTTCCACATAAAAATAAATTTGCCCCCTTTTGCTTTCCCATTGGAAAGTATGCATCCTATTACAGCTATTATGCATTGTCACTGTTTATTTCCATGCCATTTTTCCCCAGTATGGTTTAAGCTGTTTGAGGGGAGGCAAATTGTCATACTCATCTAATACACCAAATACAGAAGCTGACTATAGTAGGAACTCAATGTCTGTGACACAGGTCTAAATGTATTTCAAGTGCTATAGCATGCAAGCAGATATTCAAACTTTCCTTAACTTTTGAATTCACTCCAGCTGCACAGTTCTTATAATAATTTTCTGTTTGCAAATTAACAGATCATCAGATTTATTCCCTTTTGAATTCACACACCCAGGTATTTTGTCAACATAATCCATATATGGTAATAGTGATTGTGATCTCCTAGACATTTGTACATTCTTTGATCAACAAAAACATGTGACTGTTCCAGCATTTTTGTTGACACTTTAAAAGCAAATAGCCAGCCTCTCTCTACATTGTAAGTAGCATTTTAATAACGACTAGATTAAAATGTTGATTAAAATGACACTATACCAGCAAGTAGCCGTATTCAGAAAATACATGTACATACCTACATATACACATTCTGTACAGAGGTCTATAGGAGAGCACTACAAGGAATGGAATCAAGAGTCCTAATCCTCAATTACTAGGATATAATATTTGTTTTAACTTAGTTGCACAGTTCCTAAAATTGTCCTTTCCTGCCTTTTATTTTGTAATGCTTAACCTCCTCTAGAAGAAGCCTCAGAATTATAGCACTTTAAAACTGTGATAAGACAAAACATGCAAAAATTATGTTCTTTTTAAATGTATTTTAAAATATTTGCCTTAGTTTTCTTAAAAGGAATCTGTATATAACCAAGGAAATACAAGTGTAATATCATGAGATTCAAAGGTTTATCAAAATTGCAATAACATAGACAATCCTCAAGTAAAACAGATGCAGATTTGTACCACAGAGATTTGCAGTATCACTGTTTATTTACTTAAAAGATAAAATGTTAACAAACAATAATCATAAAGTGGAAAGCCCTATGAAAAAAGGGATACATGACCAGAACAAAGTATTGGCTCCCATGACTAATAACCCTATGGCCGCTGATAAAACTATGAATATAATGTCAGCTGTCCTTCTCATTCAAATGAAATTTCTTATATCCACATCAGCACAGCAGTGTCAGTTGTGGTTGTCAGCCAGGATATTTAAAGAACCTTAAAACAGCTGGATTTTACAAAGAAGTCCTTAAAATGGGATTGTACAGACTCACATTATTCCACAGTATATTAAAGAGGACAATTTTTAAAAGAAAAACCACATAAAACGTTGTGTAAGTAGAGCCATATATTTCCAGGATTTGAACTCTATGTGACCCTGGTGTATTAGACCCATTATTTAAAAGGCAACCTCTTAAGAATTGGGCTTAATTTTTAATCTTAAAAACCGCGCAGAACAAAAACTATTAAAATTCCTTGAAATAATCTTTAAAAGAATAGGTTTATTAACTACATAACAGTATAATCCAGGAAGGGAAGAATTATCCTCAGTTTGTCTTGTGACTAGAAAATGAGATTTTCATAAGCCATATATTTAAAAAATCAGCCTGTGTTCCTCATATTAATTATTAATACATATATGTATATATATATCAGACTCCCAGCAAGTTCATATGCACAATGGGGAAGATCTTTGTCATCATATCTTGTTCCTTCTAAGGCTACCACACTATGAAATTATTAATAATAATTGTTTCTAAACCTCTAGATTTAAAAATATTATGAAATTTTCACAGGTTCATAAATAGTGGACATTTTTAATACCTTCTAAAATTAAAATTTCACAATATTTTTAAAAATCAGAACGTTAATAATTTCTTAAAATGCATCAGATATCCTCCCTTTTCCTCCCCCTAATATATAAGATAGGGGCAGGGTGGAGGCACATCACCCAAAACCATCAAAAAATACTAAATAATTCATCAAATAAAATGTCTCTCATTTTAGTAATAGTGATATTGCACATGCTTTGGCCCTATAAGAACCTTAAAAGTACCCGATTGGGAAAAATGCATTGACTGAACATTGACAAAGTACAGTGCTGTTAGGATCATTCACAGCAAACACATCAGTGATTTTCTAGATAAAATGCCAACAATGTAGCTAATCTTTTCAGTTAAACAATGCTTTTAGAAGTGCCTTAAGAGCTAAATGAATATCTAAAAATTCTTTCAAATGCTATAAGGCCATTAGTAGATTAACACATTTGTCAACAATTTAATTAAATATTTTTAAGTCATCTCAAAGTCACATAGTGGTAGAGTTTTTTGTTTTCAAAGCATCACACTTGTTATTGATATGCTATATAACAGATAATACATTCAGAATTTTTCTTTGTTTATTAACAAGCCCTTGTAATTAACTTGCTTTTAAATCATAAGTATGATACTATTTTAATTTCCCTCACATTCACTACCCTATCATTTGAAATCACATTAAGCTGACTCTTAGAAGGCCACCTGGTGTAATACTATGACATTGAAGTGAGCTGTTCTAGTATGCAGGAAATATTGACAGTCTTCCATGCTGAAATCCATTTCTCTAACTGATGACAGAACTAGGGGAAATTAATTTTTGCTATTCATAAATACCTGACAGGTTTAATGTAAATGTTTTGAAAAAGACCTCAGCATATGCTGCACATACATTATATATGCGGCACTGCACTGGAACATTGTATTTGAAACCCATTTAATTTCTAGATCACTACTGCTGAAAGTGTTGAAATTTCTCAAATTACTCACAGATTGCAATTTTCTCCATATACATGTAAATAACAACAGAAGTCCACATGAAACCTTTTAGTTACTGGAAAAATCAGCAATTTGACACTTAGGACAAATTTCTTTGATAGAAATACTATGAAAATGCAGGTAAATCTGACAAATCACTGAGTGTTAGCCCAGCTGGTCTCCTGTGGTCAGAGCTGAAGAATGTGTTCCAAGGAGACTGTGCTGGTTTTTAAGGTACAGAAGGGCTGCTGCAGAATGGCTGCCACCTCAGAAGCAACCCTAGCCCAAAGTACATGACTCCAGATTTCTTGTATAAAGGTGAACATGTATTCATTCCTTAGAGTATCATAGACTGTCTTAGATAACCACACTAACACATTTATTTCAGTGTATATGCATAAATAAACCCCTGTGAAAGTTCAACCCACTTTACATGGTAGGTATACTCCTGAACATTCATGTGTAACTACACAGGGAAGCTTTTCATTTTCATAAATTCTAGGGGGAAATAATTTATAATAAAACCACCTTTAAGTGATACAATTTTTAAATTTTATGGTGATTTTCAAGTTTGAGTATCAGTAGAATAATAACTGTATTTGATTGAAACACATGAAATAGGTTAAAAAATCTAGGAGTTCATAATGATATTAAAGAAACAAACCAAACAAAACCTGATTGGTCTCCTTTGGAGGATGCTAGTGAACCAATTCATTATTCTGAAAACTAGCGGTTAAAGGGAAAGAAATCAAGCATTTAATCTGCCTTTTCTATACAAACTATACCTCAGGTTATTGATAAGTTTCTCTTTATAGAAATAGTCCAACTAATAAATGAAGAAAGATAAACACATTAGAATATCACCACTTTGCAAACCCCTAACGAAATAATGGCCACTAACATCATAAAATAGACAAACAGAAACTTAGTAGAAATTAAAATGCAGTGTACCATCAATGAAGTATTCTTACCAAAACAAAACAGAACAAAAAAACACCCTGGAATCAGATCAAACTTCTTAAGTAACCTGCCAGTTCACAGGAGAAAAATGCATTAAATACCACAGAGATGCAATAAGCAAATCCTGTGTGCAAGAAACAAGATGAATAGTCCAGTTTCTTCAACAAAGAAGAAGCAAGGGAGAAGAAGCAAACAAGGGAGGGAAGCTATAGATTGAAAGAGACAAATGCAATGTGTGGATACTGTTTGGATGTGATTCAAACAAACTGACAATAAAGAAAAAGTTATGAATTATTGGGGGAATTTAAATAATGATTACCAATCTGGTGGTATTAAGGAATTAGCAGTATTACAGTATAATGGTTGTGATAATTTTTTTCTCTTAAAGTGTATCTTTTAAAATACATACAAATAAAATGATATATCTATAAATCATTTTGAAATAATGCAGTTAAGGGGGTGGCAATGAGTGGAAGGACAAATGAAAAGAGATTGGCCAAGTGTTGGTAACTGGGGAATGGATAACTATTTTTGTGCTCTCTACTATTTGTATATTTTTAAATTTTTCTAATATAAATAACTTATTTTTCATAAAACAAGAACTAAGGAAATAACTGTTTTCTTGTTAAATTCTAAAATTTGTTGCCTGGCTCATTCTAAGTTAGGAAATGACCCTTTGTGGTAAGAAAGGGGAAACTACAAAAAAAGAAAAAAAATGCTTATATTTATGACAATCAACAAAAGAAAGAAAGGGACAAATTCAGCTGAAGAGACTGGGAATTTTGACTACATCCTTCCCAACTGGTTTGCTGCACCAAATAATCTCTCAATACCTTCCCACGACGAATTTCTGTAATTCTGTAGTTTTTAAAAGAACTACAAGGAACGAATAGGTGAAGCACAGAAGATTTTTAGGACACTGAAACTATTCTCTATGATACAGTCATGGCAAATACATGTCATTTATACATTTGTCAAAACTCAGAATGTCAAAAGAGGAAGAGTAATCCCTAATGTAAACTATAGACTTTGGGTGATAATGTGTCAAGGTAGGTTCATCAATTGTAACAAATGTAACAAACATTGAGTATATTGATAATGGGGGGGGGGGCTGTACACATGTGGGAGGAGGGGGTCATGAGGATGCTCTGTACTTTGTGTTTAATTTTCCTGTGAACCTAACACTGTTCTAAAAAATGAAGTATTTTAAAAAGAAAAAAAGGAACTGTAAAACACTCATGAACATGTTGCACAAAATCAGAACACTGCTGCTTCTTAAAGCTCTATTATTGTCTCAGTGAGTAAATCTTTAAAATATTGTAGGATATTAAAGATTTGACATTAAACAAGAGTGGTAGCTTGTGTCTATAATCCCACTGGGAAGCCAAAGCTGGATGTCTTGAGCCCAGGAGTTCAAGACCAGCCTGGGCAACAGAGAGAGACCTCATCTCTACCAAAAAAAAAAATATATATATATATATAATATATATACGTATATACATATATATTATATATTATATGTATGTATATACGTATATATATTATATATGTATATATGTATTATATATGTATATATGTATAATATATAATAATATATGTATATTATATATATATAATATATATAACATATATATATTGCCAGATATGGTGGCGTTCACCTGTAGTCCCAGCTACTACTAGGGAGGCTGAGATGGGAGGATCACTGGAGCCTGGGAGGTCAAGGCTGCAGTCAGCTGTGATCATACCACTGCACTCCAGCTTGGGTGACAGAGCAAGACCCTGTCTTAGAAAGAAAAAAAAAAAAAAAACTGGGGGTGGTTGTCAAGGAATAAGGGGGCTGGAGGAAATGGGCAGTGACTGCTAATGGGTATAGGGTTTCTTTTTGGGTGATGAAAATGCTCTATAATTGGTTGTAAAATTGTTTTAAAACTGGTTGCACAACCTTAGGAACATACTAAAAACCACTAAATTATACACCCTAAAGGGATTAATTGTATGGTATGTGTATGAACTATATCTTACTGAAGTCCTTATAAAAAAGAAAATATTTGGGGGCTTTTGTAATAGTTAATTTTATGCATAAACTAAGGGATTCCCAGATAGCTGATAAAATACTATTTTGGGGTGTGCCTGGGAACCCTCCAGAAAAGGTTAGCATTTGAATCAGTAGACTGTAAAAAAAATCGCCCTTGCCAGTGTAGGTGGGCATCATCCAATCAGTTGAGGGCCCAAACAGAGGGAAAAGACAAAGGATGGGTGAATTTGCTCTCTCTCTACCTGAGCTGGGGCATCCGTCCTCTTGCCCTCAAACAGGACTCCCAGTTCTTGGACCTTCGGACTCAGACCAGGACTTACAGACTTGCACTGCTGGCCACCTGGTTCTTGGTCCCTAGGGCCTGGACTGGAACTATATGACCAGCTTTTCTGGGCCTCCAGCTTGCAGACAATCGATTGTGCCTTCTCTGCCTGCATAACTGCCTGAGCCAAGTCTTCATAATAAATCTCTCTCTGTATATCCATCTATATATACTCTACTGGTTCTATTTCTCTGTAGAACCCTAATAGAAATTTTATATCTACATGTATAAAAATAGGAAATTACTAGTGAATGCTCTTAGCATTATACATTTTCTAGGCAGACAATATTAATTTCATAAAATTATTCAGATTATGTTCAATTTATTGGGACAAAATTTCACTTTGAAATCTTGGGAAAGAGGCATATTGCTTAAGAAATCTTGGGAAAGAGGTTTTTTGTCCTTGTGATAGTTTCCTGAGAATGATGATTTCCAATTTCATCCATGTCCCTACAAAGGACATGAACTCATCATTTTTTATGGCTGCCTAGTATTCCATGGTGTATATGTGCCACATTTTCTTAATCCAGAGAGGGGAGGGATAGCATTAGGAGATATACCTAATGCTAAATGACGAGTTAATGGGTGCAGCACACCAGCATGGCACATGTATACATATGTAACTAACCTGCACATTGTGCACATGTACCCTAAAACTTAAAGTATAATAATAATAAAAGAAAAGAAAAGAAAAGAATTCTTGGGAAAGAGGCATATTGCTTAAGAGGCTTTTGGGTCTGATAGATCCAGATTTGAATCTTAGCTCAGCTACTTATTAGCTGTTGACCTCATACAAATGAATTACCCTCTTCCAGCCTCAGTTTCTCATCTATAAAATAAGTACACTAATTCCCACCTAATAAGATGATGAAAAGAACTGCATGACATACGATGGTATAAACCAGCTTATACTCAAAAAACTAGAAACAATTAAAATTTATTCTGTGAAAATGTATAGTAATATTTTCAAAAGAAAAGAATATCTCAGCCCAGCATGGTGGCTCACGCCTGTAATCCCAGCACTTTGGGAGGCCGAGGAGGGTGGATCACGAGGTCAGGAGATCGAGACCATCCTGGCTAATATGGTGAAACTCTGTCTCTACTAAAAATACAAAAAATTATCTGGGTATGGTGGCAAGCACCTGTAGTCCCAGCTACTCGGAGGCTGAGGCAGGAGAATTGCTTGAATCCGGGAGGCAGAGGTTGCAGTGAGCTGAGATCACACCACTGCACTCCAGCCTGGGCAATAGAGCAAGACTCCATCTCAAAAAAAAAATATCTCTTTAGTAATTTTAGGACAATTTTATAATAGTTACTGTTGGATTTCAGTCATCAACAAGCTAAACATGAACAGTTCTAAAATAATAATCTAATTTACTATATATTTTGTGTCATCTAACCTATAAAATTTATATAAATGCCTGAAAAATTTCCAGTATTACTACTACTATAACTACTAACGTGTGCTATCTTAATCTCACTTATCCTCATATAAAATAAAAGGCTTTAAATGAATATTTAATGAAAATAATACAAAAGGGATGATTAACAAGCTAAGTTTTTTTTTTTTTTTTATGAAATTTGCACTTATGGAGAGGCTCTTAAACTGCTCAAAGTAAAAACAAAAGATCTTAGGAGGCATAATATCTATTGCATAGAAGATAGGCAGAAAAAAGCCATTCAATGATTTAACCATTCCAAAAACATTTGCTGGATTCCAAGTACTGTGCCAAGGCCTGGTGGATTAATGATGAACAGGACATGGCCTTTGCCCATCAGGAGTCCCAGTTATTGTGACATACAGGTAAATACACAAATAATTCCAACAGAATGAGATAAAGGCTAACAGAGGGATATAAAAAGTATTTCTGGAGCATGAAGTAAGGCATAGCTAACTGCAAAACTAAATGAAAACAGATGCTAAGGGATGTCCAGTGTACACTGCTTGATGATGAAGATGAGGGAAGAGGAAGGAAGAAGAATGGTAAAGGAAAGAAGAGGAGGAAGAAAAAAAAGAAAGGAGGAGGAGAAGGAAAAAAGAAGAAAGAGGAAGAAGAGAAGAAAAATAAAAAGGAGAAGACCATTAGCAAAATGGAAAACAATAATAATAATGCACCTTTGGGTAGAAATGTTCCCATTCTTAATAAAATAATTATCTCCAAGCATCCAACGTTAGTCCTGGAAAAAAGCAACTCCTGGTTATGGGATGGGGGGATTGGGGAGTAATGTTACTGGCTACGAAGATGGACTGTATTATCCTTGAATTTTACCACCCCTGTGGTGGTTTTAAAACATGAGCCCCCAATTTTTTTATATTCTATGTCCCCATCCCTTAAATCTAGGCAGACTTGTGACTGCTTTGACCAATAGAGTTCAGTGGAAGTGATGCTCTGTGACTTCTGAGGCTAGGTCAGAAAAGGTTACACAACTTGTACTTGATCTTCTTAGAATACTTGCTCTCTGTGTTCGACACGGTGGCTCACGCCTGTAATCCCAGCACTTTGGGAGGCCGAGGCGAGCGGATCACCTGAGGTCAGGAGTTTGAGACCAGCCTGGCCAACATGATGAAACCCCATCTCTACTAAAAATACAAAATTAGCTGGGCATGGTGGTGCATGCCTGTAATTCCAGCTACTCAAGAGGCTGAGGCAGGAGAATCACTTGAACCGGGGAGGCAAAGGTTGCAGTGAGCCGAGATCACGCCACTGCACTCCAGCCTGGGTGACAGGGCGAGACTCCATCTCAAAAAAAAAAAAAAAAAAAAAAAAATGCTCGCTCTCTGGAGGCTCTTCTCTGAACCCAGCACAATCATGCAAGAAGTCCAAGCCCCATAGAGGTCATATACAGGTACTCTATAGTCTATGGTCCCAGTTAAGCCTTTAGGTCATCCTAGCTCAGTTACCAGACATGTGAGCAAAGAAATCATCTTATAAGTGGGTCCCCTTGGACAGGTGTGGTGACTCATGCCTGTAATGCCAACACTTTGGGAGGCCGAGGTGGGTGGATCACCTGCGGTCAGGAGTTCAAGACCAGCCTGGCCAACATGGTGAAACTCTTTCTCTACAAAAAAATGCAAAAAATTAGCTGGGTGTGGTGGCAGGCACCTGTAATCCCAGCTACTCAGGAGGCTGAGTCAGGAGAATTGCTTGAACCTGGGAGGCAGAGATTGCAGTGAGCCAAGATTGCACCATTGCACTATACCCTGGGCGACAGAGTGAGACTCTGTCTCCAAAAAAAAAAAAAAAAAGTGGGTCCCCTTGACCCCAGCAGAAGCCCAAGACATCATGTAGCAGAGAAGAGACATGCCTGCTGTGACTATCCCAAATTCTTGACCTACAGAATCTATGAGCAAAGTTAAAAAGTTGTGACTTTACACAATTAATATTGGTAGGCTTTTTTTTTAATGCAGCAAAGCTAACCAGAACAAATTTCATTACTAAAAGTTTGGTGCTGTTGTAACAAAATCTAAAACACATGGCATTAGTTTTGGAACAGTACTCTAGAGGCTAACACTGAAGCATAAATAAAAAATGTAACAAAGATGTTACTGGAACTTAGGAGAAAGAAGATCCTTGTGTAACAGCTTGAAATTTGGTAGTATGAAAAAAGGAAATGTACTTAATAAATTTGTGATCTAGCTAAGGAATTCTGCAGGTGGAACACTGGAAGTGCTACCTGGCTTATTCTTGCTCCCCATAATAAAATGTCAGAGGAGAAAGATGAACTGAAGAATGAACTATTCCATTCTCAAACAAAATTTAGAGGTAATGTAAAGGATCCAGGACTTGCTGCGTTAAAAAACTAAATTTGTTTCTCATTCCCAGACTCTTCAGACAGGAAATACTTCTCAAATTAAGAAATGCCTTCAAGGTAAAAATAAAATCCCAGGTCCTATCAAGAAAGCATCTCAGAGTGTGGCTGTAAAACCCTCAATGACCCCAGAATGATTTAAGGTAATGCATTATAAACCCTTTCAGACAGACAAAAGAACTTCTGAAGATCTTAAGGCTATGTGTAGAAGACCTCCTGTGATAACAATAGGGGTTCTAAGTATCTTAAGGGGATTGCCCCACAGCAGGTTTACAAGGAGCCCAAGAGAGAGAAGTGCTTATTAGTGAGTGTGGCTTTTGTCTAATGTGATAGATTGTAACATACACAGTAAACCTACAAAATTTTTAAAGGAATTGTATCAGTTTAGACAGAAAGAGACAGATAGAATATGAAATGAAAAGAGGGGCCGGGCTCGGTGGCTCATGCCTGTAATCCCAGCAATTTGAGAGGCCGAGGCGAGCATATCACGAGGTCAGGAGATCAAGACCATCCCGGCTAATACAGTGAAACCCCATCTCTACTAAAAAAATACAAAAAATTAGCCAGGAGTGGTGGCATGTGCCTGTAGTCCCAGCTACTCGGCAGGCTGAGGCAGGAGAATTGCTTGAACCTGGGAGGGGCAGGCTGCAGTGAGCTGAGATTGTGCCACTGCACTCCAGCCTGGTGACAGAGTGAGAGTCTGTCAAAAAAAAAAAAAGAAAGAAAGAAAAGAAGAGAAAACAGAGGTTGCATAACTGTGAATGTACTTAATAATACTACCGAACTGTACACTTAAAAATGGTTACATTAGTAAATTTTATGTTACATGTATTTTACCACAATTCTATCTTATTTTATTTTTATTTTTATTTTTAGAGACAGAATCTTGCTCTATTGCCCAGGCTGGAGAGCAATGGTACAACCCTCAAATTCTGCAGCCTCAAATTCCTGAGTTCAAGGGATACTCCCATCTCAGTCAGCCCAGTAGCTGACATTATAACCTGTCTTTATGGAAGGCTGAGAGCATGGGATCTGCAGGGAGATTACTACATTCAAACTGAGTGGCTCTGCCACTTATTAGCTACATAATTCTAGGCAAGTTGCCTAACCTCGTTATGCCTCAGTGTTCTCAACTATAAAATTGGGATACTAGACGGGCGTGATGGCTCAGGCCTGTAATCCCAGCACTTTGGGAGGCCAAGGCGGGTGAATCACGAGGTCAGGGGATTGAGACCATCCTGGCCAACATGGTGAAACCCCATCTCTACTAAAAAATACAAAACATTGGCCAGGTGTGGTGGTGCACACCTGCAGTCCCAGCTACTCGGGAAGCTGAGGCACAGGAATCGCTTGAACCTGGGAGGCAGAGGTTGCAGTGAGTGGAGATTGTGCCACTGCACTCCAGCCTGGCAACAGAGCAAGACTCTGTCTATTAAAAAAAAAATATTGGGATAATAGTGCCTACAACATAAAGTCATTCAAAATAAAAGAGATAAATTGTAAAATGCTGTTGAAAACAGTATTACCATGAGCAGAGCATCTAATAAACGTAAATCCATACCATTTACCACAAGCCATATTCACCTACATTATGTCACTTTCAACTTCAGTATCAACCTTGTGGAGATAGGTTGTGCTGATATTATTCCCATGGTACATGCTGAAGATACCAAGTTTACAGAGTGTATTAGTCTGTTCTCACTCTGCTATGAAGAAATGCCCACGACTGGGTAATTTATAAAGAAAAGAGGTTTAATTGGCTCACAGTTCCACATGGCTGGGGAAACCTCAGGAAACTTACAGTCATGACAGAAGCCACCTCTTCACAGAGCGGCAGGAGAAAGAATGAATGCAAGCAAGGGAAATGCCAGACATGTATAAACCCATCAGATCTCATAAGACTCACTCATTATCACGAGAATAGCATGGGGGAACTGCCCCCATGATCCAATTACCTCCACCTGTCCCTACCTTGACACTTGGGGATTATGGGGATTACAATTCAAGGTGAGATTTGAGTGGGGACACAAAGCCAAACCACATCAGAGAGATTAGGTGCATAATTCAGGATAATACAACTAATAACTAATAGAGTCAGTCTTTGAATTCATATTCTCTGACTCTAAGTCCATTGCCTTTTCCATTGTATCATGTTGCATTTGAAATAAGAGGAGCAGGTACCATGACCATCACTTAATAGGGAAAGAAATTACCTCTCTCAAAGCCTAAGTAATTCACTCATGATGATATAACCACTTAATGATAGAGGGTTGATGAGTAGAAGTATTGCATAGTAATTTAAAATGCTTTGAGGGCTGGATGCAGTGGCTCACTCCTGTAATCCTAGCAACTTGGGAGTCCACGGCAGGCGGATCGGGAGGCTGAGATAGATAAGAGGATCTCCCTCGAGGGTAGTAGTTCTAGACTAGTCTAGAACTGGGCAACATAGTCTGGGCAACATAGCGAGACCCCATCTCAACTAAAATAAATTTATTTATGTATTTATTTTTTGAGACAGAGTCTCGCTCTGTCGCCCAGGCTGGAGTGCAGTGGCGTGATCTTGGCTCACTGCAAGCTCCGCCTCCCAGGTTCACGCCATTCTCCTGCCTCAGCCTCCCGAATAGCTGGGACCACAGGTGCCCACCACCACGCCTGGCTAATTTTTTTTTTTTTTGTATTTTTAGTTGAGACAGGGTTTCACCGTGTTAGCCAGGATGGTTTCGATCTCCTGACCTCGTGATCCGCCCGCCTCAGCCTCCCAAAGTGCTGGGATTACAGGCATGAGCCACCGCGCCCGGCCATCTCAACTAAAATTTAAAAACTATCTGGAAATGATGCTGTGCACCTGTAGTCCCAGCTACTCAGGAGGCTGAGGCAGAAGGATCACTTGAGCCCAGGAATTCTCAGCTATGATCATGCCACCATGTACAAAATTAAGATAATACAACTACCTCACTGGGTTGTTGGGACCAAATGAAATAGTGCATGTTGAGTTTGAAGCACAGTGCCCGGCACATAGTAAAACTTTTTAGTAACGTACATCTCCTGTGTCCTAAGTCACACTTTTTTGTTTTGTTTCGTTTTTAAACATACCATGCTAATTCAACTCTTTCCTTTCTGAAGTCTTTCTGATAGAAAGAAGTCACTCAAGGCTTATGTTTAATTATCTTTATGAAATTATCCTTAATCCTTCCTTGCTATGCCTCGTACTAAGGCAGAGAGGGAGAGGTACTTAACAAAAATAAACATAAAATATTTTCACTTATTGCATGGCCTTTCAGTTCAGACAGGAAAATCATAATGAAAATTATACAGGTTCAAAATTATGACCTGGAAACTTGTTTTGGAAAAAAAATACATTTAAATGATATATATAATGCTCTCTACAAACACATATCTCTGCTTCAAAATATGTTCCAATGGAAAAGTTTATGTCACTGTTTGTTTATAAACACATGTATAGAGGGAAAAAGTTCAATGTCCACCAGTAGAAGAAAGCAATCTATTTCACCATGAGTCTGGAACAGCTTTAACAAGTCTGAGATACACAATAGCAGCAATTTCAACTTTGCTAGCACTCTATTATGCTGAAGTATCTCATGGTGGTTTGTGATAGCATTAAGAGTTCATCTATCCTAGAGGTTCAATAGTTAAAAATCAGTTCCGTATCACTTTCATTACATTTGGTCTAAAAGCAGGTTAGTAAAGTAGTGGTACCTGTTTATTTTTTAGACACCATTATAAAATAAGAACCGACAACACGGAAAGAAGTATCATTATGGTAGGTATATACTGGACTGCCTTTCCTCCAAAAGCTGGAGCCTATCTTCCCCTTTTAACATTCAACCTTCAACACTTCAGCATTGTCTCTTCAGCATGACATGTTCTAAGACATTCTTCCCACTCACATGTGTCATGAATATGCACTCACTTGATTTCATCTGGGTACGTCTACCTAGCTAAGCCCCATCCATCAGAAATATACATCATCATCAGGTAGTTAAGGACACTTGCACTCTGGCGAATACAGAATATCATTTACCTTCATGACCTACAGTTTAGAGTGGGAGAGAAATAGCTTTTCCACATATCTTCGGTTTTTAAAAAACTCTGCAAAGGGAAGCAGCTTAAGGTAGGTATTTAGGGGTTTGTATAGAGGTAATTAGAGTAAATAATTTAATTGAGTTGACTAATTTTTCAAAAGTCTATTTTTATCTGTAAGAATATACAGTAGATTCATGTGTTCTATTGTTACATTGGATTATTCCTCCTACTTTCACATCAGCTGTTTTAGAAGTGACCTTTAGCAAACATTATGTTTTTTATTTTCAAAAATAGCATTACAGAAATCACATTAATATACAACATATCTTGAAGGTGTACAGAAACCAATAAAGCCAGTAATATATAAAGAATAATGCAAATAGTTATGCCACATGGCAGGCAATGACTACCCATAACGGCCCCTTCCTTGTTGATTCTCGATGACTAGAATAACCAGAGAGACAAGACTTGTATTTTTGTCTAACAATAATGCCAAAAAGTACTAAATTTTCTTGAAAAAAAAAAGTGTTTTTGTTTTCCTTTTCCATACTCCTACATTATCTCTCCTCCAAAATTGAATAGTAGAGGATGATCTGCAGCACTTCCTCAATTTCCCCACACTATCCCCGCCCCCTAAGCCCCACAAAACACTGGCTGGCACCAGAGCCAAGATGGGTAGGTAGTTTGTTAAGTGAAAAGGAAAATTAACTGGTTTCCCCAAGAAAAGCAAAATAAAAAAATTCAAGTGTATGGAGACGGGGTATTGAAAAATCACAGTGTAAAACATCATTCACTTTAGGAAACAAATTAATTAAACTGCTAAATGTCAAACAAGACCCCTTATTATTCATGTCAGTGAAATTTCAACTCAGTAATAGGTGTGATAGAGATGTCAACTAATTGTTGATGATCTTTCTAACTAAATTGCTCTCACACAGTAGCATCAGGGCCTTGAGAGATGAAATATTTATGGCTGTCAAAATCTTTCTCTTAGGGTTACCAATTTGGCCTGTAACTTGAGGATACTGCCGTTTTCCACTTTGTTCCTATTACACCTTTCAATACTTTCTGATTACTTGGAGATTGCAGAAAGGCTGGACAGTCCTCACTATACTCTTCAAGTTAAAATAAGAAGCACCACTCCCTGTTGAGATAGTGACAGAGGTATTAGAGAGTTCTGTGCAAAAAGGAAACCATCTTTTTGACTTTGGTTTTTGTTCCTTCAGAATAAAATCCCATACTCACAACAGCACACCCCTTGAAAATTAGGAGAGTCTGCTGAACAATTTAGCAATGAAAAATTATTGCTGTATTTTACCTAACATATTGCATTAATTCTTAAGTTGCTCATAAAACATATTAATCAAAATTGAAGACTTCTTTCTAGACACAGATTGTTTCCAGACACAGTGTATCTTCTCTGATACATTTTTGCGTTGTCTTCATTCAAAAAAAAATTTTTGAAACAATTATTTTTGGTCACTTTAACAAATGCTTTTAGCTATTAAAAGAATGTGGTTATAGTTCCTGTTTTTTTAAAAGGAAATATTAATCAGAAATTTCATTAACAAACACTTATGCACATTTATAATATAATAATCATTTAATTCTCAAAATGATGATTCAAGCTCTTCAAAACCACAAGGCCGGGCAGGGTGGCTCATGCCTGTAATCCCAGCACTTTGGGAGGCTGAGACAGGTGGATCATTTGAGGTCAGGAGTTTGAATCCAGCCTGACCAACATGGTGAAACCCCATCTCCACTAAAAGTACAAAAATTAGCTGGGCGTGGTGGCACATGCCTGTAATCCCTGCTACTCGGGAGGCTGAGGCAGGAGAATCGCTTGAAACCAGGAGGCGGGTGTTGCAATGAGCTGAGATTGTGCCATTGTACTCCAACCTGGGTGACAGAGTGAGACTCCGTCTCAAAAAAAAAAAAAAAAAAAATCTCAAGAAACATCCTTAATTAGAAAGATTAAACTATATTTAAAATAATCTTATGTTTTTAAGTATTTTAAAAATAGCATATATAATACTTTTATTGAAAGGCCATATAATTAAAATTAAACATACAGAGCTTTTCTAAATATTCAAGGGTAATGAGTTAATAGTATATCTCTTTATAGCTATCCCAAATAGAATTATTTTGATATTTAGAGAGGCAATCCTAAATATATTTAGAGAGGGACAAAATTTTTTAACATTTGGGAAAAAAAAGAAGCTTCCCTTAGTTATATTCACTAGGCAGTAAAGACAAACCTCTCTTTCATCCATGTCCTCTGTCCCCTGAATCACACTATCTGGCTAAGACTCAAGCCCAGATCAAAAGAAACCAACAAAAATTAAACTAGAAAATGCATGCTAAAAATAATTTAACTGCATGGCTTCCCCCTGGCCTAACACTGTGGCATTTACTTCATTAAGTGTTTCTAAAAAACTCGCAGTGGGAAAGGTACTTAATTTATTTACTGCATGAGTCTAACGTGAACTGTGAAAGAAATTTTAAGTAAACGGGCATGGTTTGGAACAGGATTACTGGAACATTTGGTGTTTCATATGAGGCGCTCTTTTTTGCCCATCAGCACCCCTGGTACATTTCACCGTAAGCAATGAAATAATTTTG
This sequence comes from Homo sapiens, assembly GCF_000001405.40. Lineage (NCBI taxonomy): Eukaryota > Metazoa > Chordata > Mammalia > Primates > Hominidae > Homo > Homo sapiens. Next base: position 44,516,063 of record NC_000002.12, on the reverse strand, counting down.
TTTGGCTTCTAGTACATATTTCCTGACAGAAGCTTGGTAATAATGAGAAGTTCTCAAAAAATAAAAATAAAAATAAAATGCAAAGAAAATTGCTTCTCCGTGACTCTCATTCTTTAGACTTGTTCTTTCTCATAAATAGATGCAACTGCTTGTGCTCTCCCCATTTGATGTATCCCAGCAATGTCTTAGACTAAAAATAGGTAAAGGGCCTAAAAACTAAGTAGCCACAGACTAAAGCTGGCATCTTTACTTTCTGCTTTCTCAGAGGAGTTGGACAAAGAAGAAGACAGAGCTAACAACCCCTAACTTGTCTTCTCACCTAAGCTTCCATTAGTTCCTCCCAGCTGTCTACTACAAATTTCAACATGTGCTGTAGCTTTAAACTCAGAATTTCTAAAACCGAAATGATAATCCTTCTTCCCAAACCAGTTTCCCCTCCCAAATCACTGACTCACTCACTGGTGCCATGGTTACTCCCATTTTTCAAGGTCATATCTTTGATTCATGTAACAGAGTAAGTCCTCCAATTTCAGATTTTCCCTAGAAGTAAGATCTCTGTGACTGACAGGTGAATGAATTGCCTATTCCATTGATCATGTAACTCCCCTAATCCCATGTGTTCTAAGATATTCCACAGAGATTATAGATATCCCTTACCAGAGCCTGAAGAGCTACCTTTGCCAGATTGTAAGCATTTTGACTGAGTTTTACAAGTCCCTTTATACCCAAATCCAAAGTTCTACCTAACTCCTCCCAGTCCCACTGAAAAGCCTCTACTAGTGACCAGAGCCACTCTCCCAAAAAGCTTTCAGACACCAAAGCCAGTACTGATCTGGCAGTATATCAAACCCTCCCTTATGGAAATTCAAAACACAAATGAGGCTCCAGTTACTTCTAGGTAAAATCTCTGTAGCTAATATTGTGATGTTAATCCTAAAACCTCTGTCTTTCCCTAGCCACTGGCTTCTCCCACCCCTTAGAGTTAAAACATAGAGATTAAGACACAAAAGTATATCAGGTCAGCTTTATTTGCCTCTTGGCCTGGTAGAAATAAGTGAGTGGTCTACACAGGACTACCCAACTTCTCAGAGGCTATGCAGTTCCCTTTCTCGTAAATATACCAAGTTCTCATCTGTCCCATCCCATAAGTCATAGCAGCCATATCCTATGATTTATGAGTATCCATCATATTCCTTTTATATATACTTATCTTAAAATATTCAGGAAGGATATGGGGAAGAATCTAGGCACGAATATCATTGCTATAGCAACAACCGTTGCATATAATTGACCTTGCATTTTATCTTTCAAAAGTTTCTCCTATTAATGTAGTCATTCAAACTTACTTACTCTATCTGCCATGTGTCAGGCCCTAGTCTAGGAGCTGGAAACAGAGCAGTGAACAAGACAGAAAAGGTCCCTGCTCTCAGGGCATTTACAATCTCAATAGTTCTTCCTTGGCCTTTCTTGTCATCTCAGCATCCTTTGTTTTAGAATTGGACATCCTTGATTAATCCATGTAGCATTCCCTCTTTTGCCTTTCTACCTAGTACAAACTAGCCACCATAAACCAATGTCCGCCTGCTCTCAGAGCAAAGAAGCACTAGGCTTGGTTAGTTCTTAGAGAGGAAAAAGCTTGGGCAAACTCGAGACACTCTGGGCCACCTATATCATGCCATACTAAAAATGCTTCATTCAATAGGCTCACCTCTTTATCAGCCTCTCTATCTAGTCAGTCACCAAGGTCTGGCAGAAGTTATTTTTCCTACATCATCTGGCATAAACATTAAGTTTTATGTTACTCCTAAACACATTTGCCCTTCTTGGATATAGGTCCTAGCCCCGGACAATTAATTCAGATTCTTCACCTCCTCTAATGATGCTTTTCCTGCTGGCTTCTATATAACCATTCACCCTCTGATTTCTCTAAGCACTGAAGGATTTTCTTTTTTTTTTTTTTTTGAGACAGGGTCTCGCTCTGTCACCCAGGCTAGAGTGTAGTGGCGCAATCTCAACTCATTGCAAACTCCACCTCCCGAACCCAGGTGATTCTCCCACCTCAGACTCCCAAATAGCTGAAACTACAGGCATGCACTACCATGCCTGGCTAAGTTTTACATTTTTTTGTAGAGACGGGGTTTCATCATGTTGCCCAGGCTGGTCTTGAACTCCTGGGCTCAAGCGATCTGCCCACCTCAGCCTTCCAAAGTGCTGTGATTACAGGTGTGAGCCACCATTCCTGGCCAGGATTTTCTTAGTAATTTTTTCTCTTCTATATTGGAAGTTGGGGGAAATGTCTGCCCCAGATTTTACGGCACACTGCTCTGCACTGTCAGAATAAGTCAACATCCATAGTGATTGAAGATGTCCTTTCCAGTGCTCCTACCCAAGAAGGGAAAGAGAAGTAAGTTCTGTGGGCTATGATTAGAAGAAGGCGCATTTGGAACTGGCCTATGGTCCCGAGAGGAGCTCTCCTTTCTTGTGTACCAAGAACTTGAAACATCTTTCTTAAGTTTCACAGTCCAAACATGGGAAGGAGCTTATGATATTAAAGCATCCATAAGCAGGATAATAAAAATTCAAAAACAAGTAGGAATAGAGATAAGGTATATCAGACACTATCCTAGCTGATGCAATGGAATAGCAAATTGAGCTCTGACCTTACTAGCAGTCATAGTGTACTAGAAACATAATTTGTTCATTTGTTAATTCATTAATTCAACAACAGTTATCGAGCTACTACTATGTACTAGTCACACTCCTATGTTCCAGTCCCCCTCTCCTTTGGCCCTTGTCGCATTCTGTGTGAAGAATAAGGTATTGGGTGGGTGGGGGTGGGTGCAGGAAGGGGCCTGTCAGTGGGGTAATTTGGCTGTCTGCAGTAGGCCACACAGAAGAGCGGCCTGAGGGCATTTCTCCCTCTAAATGGCTTGGAAATTGTGATCAATAGCTAGCATAGATGTGAAAATAAACACATACAGCAAATTACCAAAGCACTCATCAGAATGTTTTATTACCAAAGCTCTCATCAGAATGTTTTTTAATTCCATGAAAATGCAGGACTGCTTGTGAAAAGATTAACACCAAATGTAATTAAATAGATATTTTGTTTTTGTTTTCCTGAACTGGCTTCATCCATACAGATGGGGGACAGCATACATCATATCATTCCAAGCTCTTCAGGAGATCCTAGGAATACTGACATTTATTTTATTTGCTTTGAGAATGGAAGTTGGTTTGCATTTATCTTAAGAAAAAAACATTGAAAATATAAATCAAATAAAAATATAATTTTAAGCAAGTATAATGAAGCCCATTGTAAGTTGACTATACATCATGTCTTTCAAAATTTCATACAGATTTAGGTATAGATATTTTGATGTTGTCTTTAACCAGCTGGCCTTCCAATAGAGAAGAAATACTAGCTTTAATTTATTGTAGTTTAGAAACATCATACAGGAATTGAGAAAGCACAAAAAAAGTAGGAGACTCTTGAAAGGCTAGCAACAATGAAAGGGTAGGAAAAACTGTTCTTTAAATTTAGGTACCTGTAGGTCAGAAGAAGAGGTATACTGTCAAAATGAGATAAATGAAAGTACAATTTTGTGCCATGTGTAAAATACATCCATAAAAGCTAGAAAATAATAATAATGGCTGCCACTCATTTAATGCTTACAACATGCCAGGTGCTATGCTAAGTGCTTTATATGTTTTCTTATTTCATCCCTACAGCAAACCTATGATTTATTAGCCTCAGTTTATAAAGAAAATGAGAAACAGAAAGGTGAACTTATTTGTCCAAAGTCAAAATGTTGGCTAAGGGGAGGAGCTAGTAACTTTTTGCCCCTTTTTTGTCTTGTGTACAAAATTACATAGACATGGTCAAGCATCAGCTAATATTGTCCTGCAAGGTAGTGGCAGCCTGGAGTCTGAGTTCCTTGGTAAGTGGTAGCAGCAGTGACTACAAGTGTCATGGCTGACGTAAGGAAGACGCAATCGGAAGAACAATTTCACTGTGCACTCCTTCCTCCACCCACAAGCAGAGAAAGTTCTCAGAACGTTTTCATTCATACCTGTTCTAAAGTCTGAAATTACAAGGAGCTACAAGAGGGACAGCCTAGGTAAGCACAAAGTACAGTACTATTAGAAGATGGGGGGTGGGCAGAGTAAGCAGGTTGGACAGATTGGTTTGCAGTATTATTAAATAGGGTGGTCAAGGAGGTCTCACTAACAAGGTCAAATTTGTGTAAACACTTGAAGTGAGGGACCCAACCAAAAGATAAAATCTGAGGGAAGAACAGTCCAGGAGGAGGGAACAGCTGGAGGGAGCAAGAGCCCCAGATGGTTTTAGGAGGCAGATCTCTCAGCCCTCAGTTGAAGTACCTTTTTACTTTCAGATAATTTACAAAAGTCCAATGTAACGATTAAGAATGTAGGACGTGAAATACTAGTCAGCCATAAAAAGGAATGAAATAGGCCAGGCGTGGTGGCTCATATCTGTAATCCCAACACTTTGGGAGGCTGAGGCAGGCGGATTGCCTGAGGTCAGGAGTTTGAGACCAGCCTGGCTAACATGGTGATACCCTGTCTCTACCAAAAATACAAAAATTAGCCAGGCGTGTTAGTGCACACCTGTAGTCCCAGCTACTCAGGTAGCTGAGGCATGAGAATTGCTTGAACCTAGTAGGCGGAGGTTGCAGTGAGCCGAGATGGCGCCATTGTACGCCAGCCTGCGTGACAGAGCAAGACTCCGTCTTAAAAAATAAAAGGAATGAAATAATGTCCTTTGCAGCAACTTGGATGGAGCCACAGGCCATTATTCTAAGTGAAGCAACTCAGGAATGGAAAACTAAATATCGTATGTTGTCACTTAAAAGTGGGAGCTAAGCTATGGGGATGAAAAGGCATAAGATTGATATAATGGGCCAGGCACAGTGGCTCACGCCTGTAATCCCAGCACTTTGGGAGGCTGAGGCGGGCAGATCACTTGAGGTGAGGAGCCCAAGACCAACCTGGCCAATATGGTGAAACCCCGTCTCTACTAAAAATACAAAAATGAGCTGAGCACAGTGGCACATTCCTGTAATCCCAGCTACTTGGGAGGCTGAGGCAGGAGAATCACTTGAACCCAAGAGGTGGAGCATGCAGTGAGCCAAGATCATGCCACGAAACTCCAGCCTGGGCAACACAGCAAGACTCCACCTCAAAAAAAAAAAGTGATATAATGGACTTTGGGGACTCGAGGAGGAAGGTTGACAGGGAGGTGAGGGATAAAAGACTACATACTGGGTACAGTGTATACCGTTCAGGTGATGGGTGCACTAAAATCTCAGAAATCACCACTAAAGAACTTATCCATGTGACCAAAAACCATCTGTACCCCGAAAACTATTGAAATGAAGTTTTTTAAAAAGAATGTAGGCGATGGAATCAGTGGAATGTAAAATCTGAGAGGGAAAGTATAATGAGAAATGGGATATTTGTATAGTCTCAAAGTATGTCTCAACAAGATATTTATTAATATTAATTACAAAGGGGAAAATAGTAGTGTTGTAATGGAGGATCCTAGGATCCACCACTTCAGCCAAGTGATCAAGGTGAACATTACCAGTAATTGAGTCATGTTAGAATCATGTAGCCCCAGTATGATTCACTGAGAAGGAGCACATCACTTCTGTAATATTCTAGTTTAAACTTTAAAATCTCAATGTAATCATGAGAAGACATCAGATGAACTCAAATTAACAGACATTCTACAAAATAATTGACTAGTACTCTTTAAAGTATCAAGGCCGTGAAAGACAGAGAAAGACTAAGGAATTACCACAGATTTAAAGAGACTAAAATAAAATGACAGCTAAATGCAGTATGTGCTCTTGGATTGGATCATGGACCAGAAAAAGGATATTAATAGAAAAACTAAAATTCTGGTGAAATTTGAATAAGCTCTGTAGAGCAGTTAACAGTATCAATGTCAATTTTGAGATTTCAATAATTATTCTATGGTAATGTAAGATGTTAACATTCAGGGAAGCCAGGGGAAAAGTATTTGAGAACTGTCATAGTCCATTTTTTATTGCTATAACAGAATACCTGAGCCTGGGTAATTTACAAAGAAAAAAGGTTTATTCTGATTCACAGTTCTGGAGACCGGGAAGCCCAAGATTGGGCAGCCACAACTGGTTGGTTTCTGGTGAAAGTCTTGTCCCACGTTGTAACATAGCACAGAAGTCAAAAAGGAAGTGAGCAAAACACAAAGGGTAGCCTCACTTTATAACAACTTGCTCTCATGGTACCAATTCAGTTCTACAATAGTGACAACTCACTCCCATGAGAATTACCGAGTCCTGCAAGAGCAGCATTAATCCCTCTTAACCACCTTAAGGCCCCACCTCCCAACACTGCCATACCAGGGACCATATTTCCAACACATGAATTCTGGTGACATACTCAAACCACAGCAGGAATTATACTTATTTTAAAACTTTTATTCAGGAGGCCGAGGTGGGAAGATTGCTTGAGCTCAAGAGATCAAGACCAGCCTGGGCAACATGGTGAAACCCCATCTCTACAAAAAACACAAAAAATTGGCCAGGCATGGTGGCATGTGCTTGTAGTCCCAGCTACTTAGAAGGCTGAGGTGGGAAGATCACTTGAGTCCAGGAGGTGGAGGTTGCAGTGAGCCAAGATGACTGCACTCCAGCCTGGGTGACAAAGAGAGACCCTGACTCAAAACAAAACAAAACAAAAAACAAAAACAAAAAACTTTTTTTTTGTAATAGTCTAAAATAACTAAAAGTTAAAAACAAAGAAAAATAATTAGGCTATTGGAGACAGTTCCCTGAGCTCAAATCCTGGCTGAGCTGAAACCCTGGCTCAGTCCCTCATTAGCTCTTGTCACCTTTCTGTGCTTCAGTGTTCTCACATTAAAGCTACAGGAATTTAAGACATATAATTTTTTTTTTTTTGACATGGGGTCTGGGTCTGTCATCCAGCCTGGAGTGTAGTGGCATGATCTCGGCTCACTGCAACCTCCACCTCCCAGGTTCAAGCAATTCTCCTGTCTCAGCCTCCCGAGTAGCTGGGACTACAGGCACATGCCACCACACCCGGCTAATTTTTGTATTTTTAGTAGAGACAGGGTTTCACCATATTGGTCAGGCTGGTCTCGAACTCATGACCTCAGGTGATCCACCTGCCTTGGCCTCCCGGAGTGCTGGGATTACAGGCGTGAGCCACCACACCCAGCTGAGACATACAATTTAAGACATACAAGTTACATCATATTTTTCCACTGCCTTTAACATAATATTATAGAAATTGATAAGGATATCCTAACCAGATTACTTATATTTATCATAGGATTATTTACCTAAAGGAAAAAAAATCCCATAGAAAGTTATTCAATCTATCCAGGCCAAACTTTCCTTTTACTACACATCCTACATATACACATACGTATTCCTTTGAGATAAGGTAAACGTTTAGCCACAGTACTGGAACCTCTAGGTGGATGTCTACAATGGTCTCTTGTAGGATGTTCACAACCTTTGAGTGTGAGGGAAGGAAAGAAACATGCTTTCATTGTGCATGAAAGCTCGGAATTTTTAAACACTGTAGTGGGGAACTCCCTTCCTGTAACTGGTTCTATACCTATAGGTATACTGCCTACTCACTCCCTTGCTGTGACTGGCTATATGCAAACCAGATAAACCTAAGGTGCTGATGCCACAGGATTAATACCTAGATATTTGCTCTGCTATTTCCCACCAATGTGGCTATAGGTTTACATTTACGCAAATTAGGCAACTCTCATGTGTTGATGCTGAATAAGGCACTGTGATTCTCCCTAGGATCTAGAATCAATCACAATTGATACACTAATTCACTCTATACCAGTGCTACTCAAAACAGGGTCTACCTATGCCAGTCCTTAAAGTCACTGTTACTTGTTCAAGACAAGGTCATTACATTAAAGTACTTAGAAACTTTTCACATTACCACAACGTTTTTACTTTATCAAAGTCTCAGCCCATAAGTGCTAAACATTTAAACACATGCATAAAAGTCCTTCACCACAGATAGTTTGAGAAACACTGTTCTGGAACAGTGCTACTCAAAGTTTGATGTCCAGGCTGACAATGAAGTGTCTGTTGCCAGTTTGTGCCGAGGTAAGTTTCTTGCATCAGAATGCAGATCATTAAGCACATTGTTTAGTTCGGCTGACACTTTTTTCACAGCATGACTTTCTTGATGAAGGAAGCAGTAAGTTGATTTAATTCTGGTACAAGCTGCTAAACTCCTCTCAGTCTAGTGCTTTGAGTAGCACTACTCTACTTCATCAGTAAAATGGGGATAATGAGAGTAACTATCACAAAGCGATGTTAAACATTAAACTTAATGAAACATGTAGAGTGCTTATAAACAGAACTAAATAAATATGAATAATTATTACTTTTACTATTATCACAACAGGACTTCTAAAATGATGAGGAGATCACTGCAAACAGAAAATAGACAAGAAAAAAATGAGATGAAATCAGGGTCATTACAAAAAAGGCATACTACATGGTACAGTACACCAATTAGAAGTAGGCCACCATGAATTTGGTTCAGTGCTTTTTTGCAGTCAATAAAAAGGAGAAAATGTGATGTGTTCCATGATGCACACTATCCATAAGGTTTTTTTTATAAGTGCTCCAAAGAAGTACAACCAATCCTGGTTCTGAGTGAAGGTCATTAAAGATTTAAGGTCTGAGTTTCAAAATTGAAATTAAACCTACTTTGCCTTTTGCCTCCAATTTGTAATGACAAAAAGAATTTACTGAAGCAAGGTAGAAGTTCTAACAGACTTGCTATAGAAGAAAATTTAGCCATTAATCTGTCATTTCAGTCAAAGTTAAGCTCATTAATAACTTCTATTCAGCTCCAAACTGCCTTCAATTTTTCTATTCCTTTCTGATAAGGACACACATATTCAAAAAAAAAAAGATTGCACAAATTTTATGAATTCCAAAATGAACAGGTAAATAATATTGAAGATAAGAATTTTCTTGTAGGCACTACCTTTCTAAATGCCTTGTGAGCTTTTCGAATTAAAACGTTTTAAAGAGTATGTTTGCCATTCCGTCACATAGTCATTTTTATAAACATTTCAGATTTGAAGATTTTTTGATCAGCATAAATTTGCAAGATAAAAATGATACCTTGATTATTTAAAGTAATATTAGCTAACACATTTTGAAATATGACAAAAAGCAAGAACGGTTTAAACAGAGTTAATTTTGAAAGAAAATTAGTCAGTAAAGCACACTTATTACAGAAATCCAATTTGGTATAAGGAGATGGATTTCTTGAACTATATTTATACTATGTGAAATGTCTCATGTTGTTATTCATTATTAGCACTAAAAATCTGGGTTTACCAGTATCTGTATTCATAGAGTCCCCCTACATTGAGAAATGGCGTTTATTTCTGTCCGACCAGAACATAACTAGGATTTTAACATAATATCTATCCCAAAATATAAACAAAGAATAAATTATACAGATATTGACTAAAACCAACCACTATTATCCCCAGATGTTTAAAACAGTATAATCAGAAAGAAATATGAAAAATAACTCACATATTTAAATGAAAATCGCTGAAAACTGTCTCACATGCAAGGAAGAGAATCATCCCTTTATTTACAAAATCCTTAAGGCATGAGAAAAATTCTCCAATAGAAATAAATATATTGTGTAGAAGAGATGAGGTATACAAGTAGTCTTCAACTCATTCTCCTTGAATTTCAACTTTCCTTATTTCATTTTCTCACTTTTATACCCCTACCACTTAGCTTAGGAACATTTACCATTTGCTCCTTCTTTCCTTGAAAAAAGCACAGATTTAAACTTTTAGTTTCACAGGATGCGGTGGCTCATGCCTGTAATGCTAGCACTTTGGGAGGCCACGGTGGAATGAACTGCTTGAGCCCAGGAGTTCGAGACCAGCCTGAGCAACATGGTGAAATCCTGTCTCTATAAAAAAATACAAAAATTAGCCAGGCATGGTGATGCACAGCTACTTGGGAGGCTGAGCTGGGAGGATGCTTGAACCCGAGAGGAGGAGGTTGCAGTAAGCCAAGATCGCGCCACTGCACTTCAGCCTGGGCAACAGAGCCAGACTCTGTCTCAAATAAATAAATAAATAAATAAATAAATAAATAAATAAATAAAGTAAATAAACTCCTTGTTTCTCCTTAATGTAACAGGAACAAGCTGACATTTTATAAAGGAAGCACAGTTGACTCTTGGACAACACGGATTTGAACTGCACGGGTCCACTTACACATGGATTTTCTTCCGCCTCTGACAGCAAGACAAACTCCTCCTTTTCCGCCTCCTTCACCTCAGCCTATTCAATGGTAAGATGATGAGGATGAAGACCTTTATGATAAAGAATAGAGCAACTGGACATCAGCAAAAAAGTGAATCTTCACCAAAAACTCCCACCTTATACAAAAAATTAACTCAAACTGGACCACAGACTTAATGTAAAACATAAGACTATAAAACTTTCAGATAAAAACAGAAGAAAAGTTTTCAGGACCTAGAGCTACAAAACTAGTTCTTAGAATTGATGCCAAAAGCACAACCCACAAAGAAAAATAAATTGGACTTCATCAAAACTAAAAGCCTTTGCTCAGCAAAAGACCCTATTAAGCAGATGAAAAGAGTAGCTGCAGACTGAGAGAAAACATTTGCAAACTACTGCATATCCAACAAAGAGTAGCATGTAGAATATATTTACAAATTCTCAAAACTCAATTATTAAAAAAAAACAATTAGAAAGTGGGTGCTCTAGTTTCAATATGGTTTGTTTGACCCCTCCAAATCTCATGTTGAAATCTGATCCCCAGTGTTGGAGGTGGGGCCTAACGTGAGGTGTTTGGTTCACAGGGATGGGATCATTCACAAATGGCTTGGTATCATCCTTGCAGTAATAAGTGAGTTCTTGGTCTATTAGATTCAGTGAGAGCTAGTTGTGAAAAAGAGCCTGGCATCTCTCCTCCCACCCCTCACCACATGACCTCTGTGCACACTGGCTCCCCTTTGCCTTCTGCCATGAGTGGAAGCAGCTGGAGGCCATCACCAGAAGCAGATGCTGGTGCCATGCTTCTTGTACAAGCTGTAGAACCATGAGCCAAATAAACCTCTTTTCTTTACAAATTACCCAGCTTCAGATATTCCTTCATAGCAACAAAAAACCAGACTAACACAATGGGCAAGACACTGAACAGGTATTTCACAAAAAAGGATATACAGATGGAAAATAAGCACATTAAGAGATCTTTGACAACATCAGCCATTAAGGAAATGCAAATTAAAGCCATAATGAGATATCACCATACATCTATTAAAATGGCTAAAATAAAAATAACAGCAACACCAAAGGCTGGCAAGGACGCAGAAAAACTAAAAGGCCCCACCTCAATTCTGCCCTTGTAAGAGGCATAGGAAATTGAACAAACCCCTAGGCCAAAAATCAGAAAGAAGCACATCATAGGCATCCATTAAATGGTTGTTAAATAAACAAATTACACTTGTCTAAAGCCAAATATTCACTTTTATGGAATCATAAGGTAAGCCAATTATGAGCTCTCAAAAAGCTCATTTTGAATAAAGAATTAAACATAAATTCAAAAATATCTATAAATACTTGAAATCTGAACTAATACAACATATGACCCTAAAGGGAGTGCCCTAAACTAAGTCCTAAGTCATTTGAGCAGTGTGTCTTATCTTCTAGGATTCTGGGGGAAGATAGGGAATTAAGGCAAGGGTGGGACTCACCATAACACAGATGAGTTCTGGGTTGTGTTATGGTCTGAATGTTTGTGTCCCTCAAAATTAATATGTTGAAACCCTAATCCCTAATGTGATGGTATTTGAAGATAGGGCCTTTGGGAAGTAATAAGGCTTAGATGAGGTCATGAAGATGGGGCCTTCATAACAGCATCTGGGCCCTTACAAAAAGAGACAACTCTCTCTCCCCCTTCCCGTTTCGTTTTCTCTCTCTCTCTCTCTCTCTCTCCCCACCCGCTCTTCCCCTCTCTCTTTTCCTCTTTCTCTACCTCTCTCCACAAGTAAATTCATCAAGGAAAAGCCATGTAAGAACATAAGGATAAGACAGCCCTTCTAGGACAAGCCAGGAGACGAACTCAGCAAGAACAGAATCTGGAGGCACCTTGATCTTAGATTTCCTAGCCTCCAGAAGTGTGAGAAATAGATTTCTGTTGTTTAAGCCAACCAGTCTAAGGTATTTTGTCACAGCAGTCTAAGATCTAAGAACAGCGTGCTTGAAACTACAACTCTGTCACACTGGGTTTGGACAGACTTCACGTGGACAAATGAAGAAGCCTAGAAGCGATTCTTTTTTCCTCTTTTTCTCAGTTTGCTGCATGTATCATCTCTGGGCTGAGAATTCTGATAGGAATATTTGAAAATTTTCATCTCAAAGGTCCTCTTCCCTTTTATCACCAAAGTTTAGTCTAAAACTTCTATGACATCTCAAGCCTGCTGTAATTTCTCTTTTCTCTCTGAAGACTGATACTATTAACTTTTTCACATATCTTAGAACTTAAAAGTAATCTGGCTTGCTGATAGAGTGTGTCATATGTGGTTATCTGATTTCCCAATAGACCATCAATATCTTAGGACAGAGCAATCTCTTATATTCTATCCTCTTTACTCTTACTTTCCCTCACACTCTTGCAAGCAATGATTTAGATATGCAAAGTTTCTAACAAAGGTAGGTCAGAAGTACTTCCATTGTTTGCTTTTGGGCCAAACCTGAATGACACAAGCAGGGGAGAGGTTAAATTTCTGGAAAAAAAAATTGGTTATTACACTAACAAAAGAAATATGGAATATGGGAAAGAATTTTTTTAAATAATGAAATAAGCTTTTTTTGAATAGACTTTAGTTTTTTGTTGCATTTTTTGGTAAGAAAAATAACATGGAACAGAATAAAAATGCCCTCTTCATAGCCAAGCAAGCACTTGGCTATAATATATGCTAATAAAACTGTGACAAAGAATTATATGTAGCACAGGACAAATCAGTAGTCATCATCACAAAAACTAAAAATAATTAGATGAGTTAAAAAAATGTTTTCTATACCCCCAAATTACATATCCTATTAATACATAGTATTTTCCTTTAATTGGCTAAGAAAAAGGAACTATAATATATTTTATTATGGATAATAATTATTGAATAGTTTTACCTTCTCTCTTCTAAAATCAGCTTTCCTTAAGGGACAGTTGAAATCTCAAATTATTAAATCTTGAAGGTGGATATGCATGCTGGGCTCTCAGTGTTCTTTTTCCTTTAAAATAAATACCTTTATGAACCACCTTGAAATATTACCTAACCCAAGTTCAACAATCAAGGTGGTATGTCTTGAAATGTTCTCCTCTAAAAAGCTAAGTTAAAATTCTAATTAAGATGGCAAACCAGATCAAGGCAAGACATTATCAAGCATTATCAATTTAATGGTGATTAGTGCATCAGATTAATTTCTAGAGAATGGACACAGTGAAACTGAAATAAAGCACTGGCCATTTTTAAAGAAAGTTAAAAGGGTACAAGGGCATGGGAGGTAAGGAAGGCTTGAAGTGCAGAAAGGGAAAAGAAAAAGAGAGCAGACCTGGAGTGACAGAGACAAGGATACTAATCAGTCACAGGGCACACAAGAGCACAGGGCAGGGTTTAGGGGAGAGATACAACAATTCAAATCTAAGTTGGGAAACACCAAAGATAAATGTATATTTATTCGGTAATTTTTTTTTTTTAAAGACAGAGTTTCAACTCTGTTGTCCAGGCTGGAGTGTAGTGGTGCGATCTTGGCTCACCGCAACCTCTGCCTCCTGGGTTCAAGCAATTCTCCTGCCTCAGCCTCCTGAGTAGTTGGGATTACAGGTACCTGCCACCATATCCAGCTAATATTTTGTATTTTTTGTAGAGACAAGTTTCACCATGTTGGCCAGGCTGACATTACATGTGTGAGGCACTGCGCCTGGCCTATTTGATAATTTTTGCCTGAGGCAAGCCTTACATAGCCTTTACATTTTCTCTTTTTGTTGTTTTGCTTTTTTGTTTTTGTTGTATCATTTTATTCTTGTTTCGCCTCCAACCCACCCCGCTACTCTATTGCCCAGGTTGGAATGCAGTGATGTAATTATAGCTCACTGCAACCTTCAACTCCAACTCCTGGGCTCAAGCGAAACTCCTGCCTCAGCCTCCTGCTGGGACTACAAGCACGAGCCACCATGCCCAGCTCCTTTACGTTTTCTAATGTTACATCCTAATTCAAACATTCGAACTGCACCTATAAAAATATTTCCTGAGTAGACCCAGTGTTTCAATTTGTCCGAGCCCTTTATTAATTAATTTTTTAATAGGACAAAAGGCATACAAATTCATTTAACAGGTATACATGAGAGACTTCACAATGAAGACCCAGCCTCCCAATGAGTTAGGAGATAGGAGATAGGCAACTTAAATTCTACAAGTCTCTTTCTTCACTCCTGTTCCAAATTACAGCTCTATATTCTAGTAGAAACACGTAGCATTTAAAATAGACCCTTTCAAAATTGTGATGGGACATTTCTCCATTGTTCCTTTATATTCTCTGGCACACACATAATGTACAGTCAACAACAGTTCTATCTCACCCAGTGAAAGTGTTTAATAGCAATAGAGTGTCAATGCTTTCTCAAAAGAAAGATACCACACGTGGTTATAAATAAAGGTAAATAAAATACTGAATTAGTCTTGAATTGAAGAAAAAACCTACCATTGCAGAAAGAAAAAGAACACTGCCATATATTTGTATATAAAAATTAAGATTTGTCATAGGTATGTATATAAAATATTCACATTGAATATATAAATATATATTATGCAAACTGAAGTTAGTACTAAGTACAAGTCTCCAGGAAAAAAAAAAACCAAAATATATAAGGTTAAAAAAAAAGCTAAGAAATTGCTAACAAAATATTCTCTCTATATCTTTGATCTTCAACTAATCTGAGGCTGGGCATGATGACTCATGCCTGTAATCACAGCAATTTGGGAGGCCAAAGTGGGAGGATCATTTGAGGTCAGGAGTTCAAGACCAGTCTGGTCAACATGGTGAAACCCCATCTCTACTAAAAATACAAAAATTAGCTGGGTGTGATGGTGCGTGCCTATAATCCCAGCTACTCAGGAGGCTGAGGCAGGAGAATCGTTTGAATCCAGGAGGCAAAGGTTACAGTGAGCTGAGATTGTGCCACTGCACTCCAGCCTGGGCAACAGAGCAAGACTCCAGAAAAAAAAAAAAAAAAGTATCTGAGAAAAGGGCAAAATGCTGGAAATGTTGGAAAATTGAGTCAACTAATATGTGACAAAACAAAGTAATAAATTCATAGAATTTAACATATATAATAACTTGGGTCAAATTTTTATGATCTAATCAACATAAATATATAAATTCTCTTTACATTATCTTATTTAAAAACTTGTTTTTTTCCTACAATAATCCAGGAAAAAATTAATCTTATAAACTAGATGACTACAACAAAAATCTTTTAAATAATTATAAATATCAAGGAATTTAAAAATACAGCACAAAAATGTTTTTCAAAGAACAATGTTTTTGAAGTCTGATAGTTCATACTTCAACATATTTTAAATAAGACAAGCTCAAAAGAGTCCTAAAAAGGGAGGCTAATTCAAAATGTATCACAGATTTAACTGTATGCTTATATTTATAGTCTGATATGGAAGAACTTCAGTAGATAGTGTAAAACCTACTTAGATACTCTAAAACCCTAGTGAGAACTAGATTAATGATACTCTAGAGACATGTAGGGACAGCTTTGAACTTATATTCTGTGGTTCTGTGCTTATATTTTAGTCAACAGTTTCGCAGGATATTGTCCTTTTCATGTATTTTAATATTTTCATCAAGTGAATCTTGTATTTACTTCTTGAAGCTATTTAAAATGAAGAGTGAAATTTCATAAATCTAGGATAGATAATAAATATGTACATGAAATCCAACTCAAGTATTCTTCCAATACATAGTACACAAAGCTTTTTATATTCAATTCAACCCAAGGTATAAACCCAATGTCATCTCTATGAATGAAACATGGAAAGACTACTCCTAAGTAAGAACTATAACCATTCAGAAGTATCACAAAACAGATTTTACTCAGTGCTATTGTGCCAAAAGCCTTTCATGTGAGACTCCTACAAAATTTTCATGGTTCTACAACACAGAAATCATAAACAGTCACACTTCAGAACCTCATGTTCACTCAACTGGAAGATCTGGGATACCCCAAGTAATATTAGAAGAATTTCATCAATACTCACCAGGCTTGTCACAGGACAAGTACCAAAGAACAGTGAATTCCCGTTTTGTTGTAAGGATATAAGATAATAATGTGTGATCTCTATGATTCACTATAAGAATTTAAAAGACATACAATAAAATTATAAAGACAAATTCCCATTTTGTAAGAACTGTACTGATGTTTTAGTATGTCCTTCACACTAGAGAGCAATTACAAAGTATGATATGAATACACTAGAACTTGAGCCTGACTATATTCAAAGCTTCAATTAATTTTAAATGATCAAACAACTGTACTGCCAAGAGACAAGAAACCACAGGTCTTTTACATGATCCTACAAAGTAATAGACAGAAAAGAGGTCACTCTCCAAGGTCAGCATATGCAGTGCTAGAAACATTCAAGTAAAGAACCTCACATAAATGGCTGCAGACGCTTCTGAAGACAGTCCTTGTTAGCATCATTCAAATAATACTTACAAGTTTCTCCATATATCTGCCTATTCTTGAGGATAAATGATTAGATGTATTCTATTTTCTTACAGAAATCAAATAATTCATTTTTTAAAAAAAGATTAAACATAGGTCACTCATCTCAGAATTGCAACTCGTCTTAAGTAATAAGATCTCTTACAATAAAAGAGGTTTTGCAAATATCATCTATATTTTTACCCTCATAAACACAGTGCTCACACTATGCCAACCCAAATGGGAGATATCTGTTTATATACTTGAGAGAAATCCCTCCCCCAACCCCCGCCATTACCACAAAATTCAAGACTTGAAAGTGCTCAGGATAATTTGGTTATTTCCAACAGTCAAAAGAGACCAATCTCATTTGGGAATATTGGCCAATAATTAAGGAGATATCAGTTGCCTTAGCAACAGATTCCTTCCCAAACAAGCACTGTTTTCATTCAGCAGCCTTTAGCCAAAAGGGGAATTAAATCACTGAAATCAACAATTCCTTTGTTTAGCAAACAGAACAGCTTTCCAGGTCTCAAGAAAACAGTCCCCTCGCAGTTGGTCCAGTATTGCCCAAGGTAGCAGTTGTTTAGTTGAATAAGCCAACCTCTTGAATTACAGGATTTTATCATCAAAACCACTGCTAACAGAACTGCTAGCTTTTGCCAAAGAAACATGACAAAAGAAAGAGCATCTCCTAAGTAATACTAATGAATATATTTAGCTACATACATCTTAACCTTACGTAGAGAATGTATATGTGTGTTGATGTAGCTCCTCATATTTACTCTAGCAAAGGATTAGTCCACCTACTCTGTTAATAAATAGCTTGTTTTACTTTAATTTCTCAGTGTAAGAGCCTAATCTCATATTAGACAATTTAAAAATTATTTGACATGGGTCATCACCAAAACTGAGAAACTGAATAGCTACATTTCTGCATGTTCATATAACCTGTCCAACTCCACAACATGAAGTCATGTCACTGTATTAAAGCTATCTAGAGAGGTTAAGCATTGCTCATTTTCTAATAAATAGTAATAATAAATAAATAAAGGTGCTATGATGGATCTCTCTCAATAGACACATACTTGAACTCCCAAGGGCTCCACAGGGTAAAAATATAAAGGAAACAAGCATCAAACTCTTGTACAAAATGCTTATATCCTAACTACACTCCATGATCCCTGATGTCTTTATTTCAGACTATCTCCATAATGAATGACCTAACCTTTCCAGTCTTACTCTACCACAACATTCCAATTTACAAACCTACTCCCTACCCCACACAGGTCCCCCAACTTCCCTGCTCCAGATTTCTCTTCTGGTAAGAAGACTTCACCCTGCCCCGATGCCCGGCAGGTGTCTGAATTGCTTGCTATGTCAGGATCCAGCTCTGATGCCTGCTTGGTCTTTGCCTTTCTTGCTCTTCTGGGGCTGCCTATAGCCCTTCATATACTATCCCTCTCTCTCTCTCTCTCTCTCTCTCTCTCTCTCTTTGCCTGCTTAATTTTTTTAAATTACAGGTATAATACATGCTCCTCAAAATAAAATCAAATAATATGGAGGTATAAAAATTCTTAAAAAGAAAAGGTCCCTGGTTAGAGGTTTATTCCCCCAAAAGAACAGTTAATAATTTGGTATGTAACTTTCAGGTGTATCTTTACTACATCTATACAAATATGTTTGTTTTTTTACTAAATGGGATTTTTTTTACTCTCTCTTATCTGTTATCCCTACATAAAAAATGTTTAGAAAAATTAATATGAAAGAATGAATTTCCTGAATCCATTCCACTACACATACTGAAATGTACACATTCATTTTTATTTCTTATCCCAAGTACTTTCTTCCAACTCTGGCTAGTAAAAGAACAATGTTCTTTTCCATTTATGAAAAATGAACACTGTCCAATCTACACTATTTATTTTTCTGATCATAAAGAATAAACATACACAAAATATTTCTTGTGAAACAGCGATGTGTAGTTATCTGTCAACATTCCCAATATTAATTGAGGTAAAATAATCAGCTAATAAAATTTTTGCAGATGTACGAAATCAGTTTTCTAATTTACTCTGGAGCCTTTAAAACTACATTTGCCTTTAATTTTGTCACATTTTTAACAAAAGAATAATAACTAACATACTGTAGCTATGAATAATAAATGAGGATACCCTTCCACTTCCAATTTAAAAACCCCTAAATGTCCAAGGTCTTTGACTAGCAGATTATTTCGGCCAAAGGTTGACATTTAACTTCTAAGTCCACTGTTACACTAAAAATGCAACAAATGATCCCAACAAAAAACACTGCCAGCAGCTCTAAACGTTTTTACCTACAAGTAAATCAGTGTATCAGAGTCCCCAGATGCCTACATATTAGACTTAAATACCCAGTAGAACTAAGCATTTCTATTACCATGGATTACCATTATTCATTTAAACTTCATTTCCCAAGCCCAAAACTGGAACACCACATTTGTGACTACACATTTATCTATGATGAAGAGAGAGAATTCAAAGTCATATTCCCTTAGGAACGTAGAAGACCACCAGATATTAATTAACTCTACCTAAAAGGCTTGGTTATCTCATGTTCAGAAGTGAAAAGCAAGGATATTCATCTCTCATCATCAGCTAATATTTATTGTGTGCCTGTAAGGCATACGTACAAGTCACCTACAAGGATGGGCTCTAAAAACTGTATTAGTCAAAAGTGGAAAATGCTTTTGTTACTCTATGAAATATACATTAAATGTGGCAATACTCTGCAGAGCTCTACTTACAAATACATAATAAATAGGGTGCCCGTGTTTCTTTGAATCAGTAGGGAGTGTTTACCTTTAACCTTCACTCCCTAGACAACAGCTGTTCTTCTATTCAAGTATTGACAATATTGTGCAATAGTATCGGAAAAATATGACGCTGAATATGCTTTATTGTTATAAGACAGTAAGGGATCAATTCATTTAAAAAGCCCTGATTTATTCCAGAGGAAAAGTACAATAATGCTGGTTAAATTAATAGTCAAATCTTTAGATTGGTCAATATAAAGGACAGTGTAAAATTGTACTGAGGACTTTTACAATAGAAATCTGAAAAGCTTCAAATGCTTTGGCATTTTACAAATTATTAACTTGGGTATGGCCTAGTGCAACCATGGCCTTACTCTGAATGCAGGAGGGAAAAAAACTAAATACTCTGTATTTAAGGATTATTCACTGTTCTTTACTTTGAGTTACTAGGTATTCATAAGAAAGTAAGAGATTCTGCCAAAGACATGTGATTATACGTGGAAGAAACTGAATCACTAATAAAAATGAAATTGGATCTACTCAAAAGCAACCCAATAGAAGGAGAATAAAACTTTTAGCTGGTCCTGTTCACTGGTGGCTTTCTTTGTGGGCTCATAATGTGGAACAAGAAAGGTACACACCACTGCTGGAACTACACTGTGACAGCTGCTAAAGAATGGAGCTGACTAGAGATTTCAGGCTGGGTCCAAATCTGCCTTGCTCATGCAACTTGCCAACAACCAGTAGTAAGAATTGCTTCCAATTGACATCCTTGGCCTACAATAAAGGGCAGTATTAACATTAACACTACAAAAGCTTTTAGAAACCCAAAGTTAGATTACCAGAATTGTGATGACATTTTTAACAATATATTTTCATGATTTTTTTCACATATTACAAAACTGCAATGAATTTTCTTTTTAATTTTAAAACTTCTAGTCAGTCCTCAAAATAAATATCAATTCTTGGCTGTGCACGGTGGCTCACATCTTTAATTCCAGCACTTTGGTAGACCAAGGCAGGAGGATTGCTTGAGGCCAGGAGTTCAAGACCAGCCTGGGCACCATAGCAAGATCCTGACCGCTACCAAAAAAATTTAAAAAATTAGCTGGGCAGGTGGCATGCACCTGTAGTCCAGGCTACTCAGGAGGCGTAGGCAGGAGGATTGCTTAAGCTTAGGAGTTCAAGGCTGCAGTGACCTATGATCACACTACTACCATTCTAGCCTGGGTGACAGAGCAAGAACCTGGCTAAAAATAAAAATCAATTATTTTTAGAAAGATTGCAGAGGCATTTATTTCTTTAAAAAAGTAGTGAGATTATTCTCAAACCTAAATATACTGCTTATTTTATTACATGGATGTGGACATAATTAGGGTCTATCCATCATCACTCTACATCTCACGTTCATTCAACAGATACTTCCTGAGCAACTACTGTGTGAGATGGATGAAAAAACTAAGCCAAATAAGATACAGTACCTGCCTTGAAAGAGCTCACAGACTAGTGAGGATGTGCTAAGCACAGTGCTCTGATTACTTGAGCTTCACAGAGTGGCAGGCACCTAACCCAACAAGGGCAGGAGGTGAGAGGTCAGAGAAAGCTTCCTGGGGATGTTTTTAAATTTTCTAATTTACTAATAATAATTCTATCTAAACCTTATCTGTCATAATGGAGTCTCTCTTTCCTATACTAATTGGTAGGTTTTAACTAACTCTAACCTGTGTTCTTTAAAAGAATCCATGTTCTCTTGGTACAATTTAAGATCCTAAAGAAAAAGGGCTTTAAAAATACTTTCTCATTAATTTAAAAACAATCCAACACTTTGAATTGCATGTTAGCACTGAAAATGTTTCCATTTTTATGTCCTAGTGTTTTATGTTATTAACATTTCACATTCTGCATGACCATTATCCCTTAGCAACAGTTTTAAAATTTGGATCAAATTCTAGAGAATGAGAGTATCTCATTTTTGTACGTAAACAGAGGGAAGAGGGGGGAAAAAAAGTGAGGTGGTCTCTCTCTTTTGCCCACCTCAAACATAAAAGAAATATATTAAAATACCACTCACAAAATCTCAAGAGGACACAATTCAAAGGATAATAATAAATGCAAGTCAACAAGAGTTGACATTTCCATCACCTAAGCTTGTTGTATACAGTACCTCCCGTTCATGTCTACTGACATCCAAGAGTAAACCCTAAGGGAGTTGTTTTGAGCGAGGGTTTCTGTATGTCTCTTTGAATAGGAATACAAAGTGACAGAAAAATAACTCAAAATTGCTATAAAATGAATGGTATTTCCAAATGCACAGGCAAACAACATGCACTTTAATGTAACACATTTCTTCTTATTTGGCAGTAAGTTAAAACATATGTTGTTTGAAGTTTATATAAAATGGATGAAAAGGTGTTATTTGTGTTAAAAATGAAACCAAATTACTAAGTGGTTTAAAATCCATGGCTTTTATTATCCAAATGTAGCCAGTTAAAAGTAATGTCACTTGAAGAGTAAAAATAAATTAGGGTTAACAGTTACTGGTTTGCTTATTTTTTTGATGAAGGAAATAAACAAAGTAAAACCCTTCAAAAATATGCACTTAGTCATTACAATTTCGTAATTTTCTTTAACACAATTCCAAAAAACAAACAACAAAGAAATTTTGTTACCCCTTAAAATCAAGTACAAATATTTTTTCCAAGGCTTTTTCTTCTATAAATTACCAAAGAAGGAGCTCTCAAAGTTTAGTCACACTTCAAAAAGGAAAAGTCAATGGCAACAGGCAAAAATCAGGTGGTCAAAAATGTCTTTATCAACTTGCCCTGGGAAAAACACATCTCATGAAGAAGAATAAAAACAAAAAGCAAAATCATTATTATCAAATAATTTTTTAAACCATCAATAGTTTGATTAGCACTTTATAAAACAAATAAAAACAACAGTACATCCTCTGGGGTTGTTTAGACTTGAGAGAGACAGAGAAAGACAGAATGATTTCTAACGGGCTGCAGGAGTAGAAGTCCAGAACTAAAACTTAAAAACAAAAAGTTTTGCTACTTTGTTTTCAAATATACAGTATATAGGCAGATATTTGTTTCTGAGGCCTCAGGTACCTGGCACAGGTGACTTTAGTTCTAAAGTCATAACTTTTTTAGGATTCAAAGTAAATTCATGTTTTTTTCCTGTTGACCAGTGCTTAATAGAGCAAAATATTAAGGCCAGGTGCAGTGGCTCATGCCTGTAATCCCAGCACTTTGGAAGCCTGAGGTGGGTGGATCACGAGGTCAGGAGCTCGAGACCAGCCTGGCCAGCATGGTGAAACCCCGTCTCTGCTAAAAAAATTACAAAAATTAGCTGGGCATGGTGGTACATGCCTGTAATCCCAGCTACTCAGGAGGCTGAGGCAGGAGAATCGCTTGAACCCAGGAGGTGGAGGTTGCAGTGAGCTAAGATCATGCCATTGCACTCTAGCCTGGGCGACAGGGCAAGACTGTGTCTCAAAAAAAGAAAAAAAAAAAAAAGATACAATATGTCCCCCAAAGATCAGATAACTTAGCTCTAATAAATAAAATCCAAGAAGCATATTCTGCTACAGTAAATCCTTAAAGTAGGAACAAATGCCTTAGGAGAAAGCCTTTATCTTTAGAAAGAACTGTGTCCTATTTTGAGTGATGATAAATATTCAACAAAAAATATTTTGTCATGGATTGTATCATTACCACTGATTGACACCAAAGATAAACCAAGCAGTGAAGAAGGCCCAACCCACAAACCAACATCATCGGTGATATTGGGTCCAAGAAAGATTCGTCAAAGATGTCATCACAATAGTGCTTTTGCCCTATTAGTTAAGTTGGGCAAACGCACTCTCAGATGCAAAACACCTTACCTACATTGCTTACTTGCAATATTATTTTTTTAACTTTTAAAATATTTTTTACATTTTTTATTCTTACCTGGAAATAAGAGTATTTGAGAAACCTGGAGTACTTCAGAAACTTTACAGTTTAATATTGTCCATGTTGGAAACAAGTATTGACTATCAAAAAATATGAAAATAAAAATATATAATTTACATTTATGGAAGTTGATAACAATTTTAAGAGGAAATAAACTATTAACCACAGACTAAATTTCATTTTCAAATATGATCTGCTTCTCCTAACATTTTAAATGTTAGAAGACACTGGTGAATATCCTCCTTTATTCTCACATACTGGCATTCTACCAAAAAAAAAACTCAAATGTTTTATAAGGGACATAATTTCATTAATCCTCATACAGTCTCTGAGATTTATGTTCAACCCCTGCCTTTTTTTCTCTGTCCTTCAAATGAAGTGAACAATAAAATCATAACTAAGATCTAGATGAGTCTCACATCTGCAGTTCTCAAATTCCTAACCAGTGCTTCACATTTCAAAAAGTTCATCAGCTGGATTCACGATTTAAGGTAAATCAGTAATATTAGTAGAACTAAATCTAATTACTTAATTGATTAAAAAAGAAAGAAAGAAAACATTTCCTGAATTTCATGCTCTACAAACTTTTCTTATAAATTTGTTGATACCTTCAAAGAATGCTATATTCTCAACATACCTTTAAGGCAATTAGTTACCAATTAAAAAGGGCCCATTCTGGTTAAGGGGGTGCAATAGGTAAAAGAACAGCAACAAGAAAAGTGTATGGTCTGCCCTCATAGCCATAAAGAAAATCAAAAAAAGGTCAGATGTATAGTCACAAGTGATAACCTGACAGGGCCGAAAGTCAGGCATTTATCATAGTGCAGTGTAAGTTACATATTTCTATATTATACAACTATCCTATGAATAGCTCAATTAAATTGCCTTTGTACAAAGAGTTACTTTATTAAATTAACACATTTAAAATATTCCAAAATTTTTGTAACCCTGTTTTCGGTATTTTCTTCAGTTTTTAAATATCCTGGAAGCCAATGGTGTACCAAAAGGTACGGCATGGTAGGAGTGGTCTACATGAATAAGGATAGGGAGAGGTATTTTACCACTGGCATTTAAAAAAATTTTAGGCACATATGATAATTAAAAGCAGAACAACTTTCAATTTTATTATTTTTTTTGAAAAATTATCTAACTCACTTCATTGCCCTAGAATGGACCACCTCTTCTATCCCCTCCAGCCATTGGCACAACCTTGCTGGAAATCTCAAAAACATAGAAATAGCTAAGAGTTTGTCACAATCTCTGGAATACTCTGCATTTACCTTTTTTTTTTTTTTTTTTTTGAGACAAGGTCTGGCTCTACTGCTCAGGCTGGAGTGCAGTGGCGTGCTCTCAGCTCACTGCAACCTCTGTCTCCTGGGCTTGAGCCATCCTCCCACCTCCGCCTCCCAAGTAGCTGAGACTACAGGCATGCCACCATGCCCAGCTAATTTTTTTTGTATTTTTTGTAGAGACAAGGTTTCATCATTTTGCCCAAGCTGGTGTCAAATTCTTGAGCTCAACTGATTCACCCACCTCGGACTCCCAAAGTGTTGTAATTACAGGTGTGAGCCACCTCACCTGGCCACATTTGCTTATCATTCCTAAATGACTTCATTGCTGTTTTCTTCTCTTCCTTTTTCTCCTCCTGTTTGTTCAATTTTAAGCACTTTATAAAGAAAATAGTAAAGCTGAATTTAGATCTTATTGAATTATTAGGCTGGAATGGAGAGAAATACATACTGTTCATCTAGTAAAATACTGCTCTCACAACATAAGTTATAATACATATAACTTTCAAGTACATGAGTACTTGAAATCCAGAATACTTCAAAATGAAGATAAATATGTGGAGATTTTAGTTTCTAGAAAAACGATAAGGCTGGGTGCAGTGGCTCATGCCTGTAATCCCAGCACTTTGGGAGGCCGAGGCAGGTGGATCACCTGAGGTCGGGAGTTCGAGACCAGCCTGACCAACATGGTGAAACCCCATCTCTACTAAAAATACAAAATTAGCCGAGTGTGGTGGCGCATGCCTGTAATCCCAGCTACTCAGGAGGCTGAGGCAGGAGAATCACTTGAACCCGGGAGGCGGAGGTTGTGGTGAGCCAAGATCGCGCCATTGCACTCCAGTCTGGGCAACGAGAGCAAAACTCCATCTCAAAAAGAAAGAAAGAAAGAAAGAAAAAGACAAGAAAAAGAAAGATGACAAATGAGCTATTATTGAAAATTATATAATTAAACACTTTGGAATGGTCTGATTCAAGAGTACCTAACTATTGTAAAAGTCTATATATTTTTCCTTTTATTTCTAACATATCTGTGTGGAAAAGGATTTTTGCATCTGTCTGCATTAAAAATATATATAATACTATAACTGGATGTTGCATCTGGTATGCAGATCCAACAGTGAAACATTGCCCATATATTTGTGTGTGTGTGTGAGTGTGCGTGTGTGTGTATTAATCTAATATATACATTAGATTCAGCAAGTACATGTGCAGGTTTATTACATGGGTATATTGCATAATACTGAGGTTTGGGCTTCAAGTGAACCTTTCACCCAAATAGTGAACATGGAACCCAATAAGTAGTTCTCCTTATATTAGATGGGTATGGATAAGACATAAAAACACTGTTCTCATTGAAAGTGTTTTTTTAATTTCATTTTAAATTAGGTTTTTCTTGTTCTTTTTACAATAATCCAATTTTTCTAATATGTTACCATTATTTTTTCCATTCTGTTAAAGTTTTCAAAGCATAAGAATCACAATTGCTACTTCTCACGGCAATTAGTTTGCAAGGTTTTATTTTCCTGTCAATTGTAATCCAAGTATTGCAATATACTATTATACCTCATTACTTCATTTTGGAGTTCTTCCACGACATCAGAATATAAAAAGTATTCCGGCCAGGCGCAGTGGCTCACACATGTAATCCCGGCACTTTGGGAGGCCAAGGCAGGTGGATCATCTGAGTTCAGGAGTTCGAGACCAGCCTGACCAACATGGTGAAACCCCGTCTTTACTAAAAATACAAAAATTAGCTGGGCATGCTGGCGGGTGCCTGTAATCCCAAATACTCAAGAGGCTTAGGCAGGAGAATTGCTTGAACCTGGGAGGCAGAGATTGCAGTGAGCCAAGATTGCGCCATTGCACTCCAGCCTGGGCGACAGAGCAAGACTCCATCTCAAAAAAAAAAAAAAAAAAAATAGTATTCCATGAACAAATAAATATGAAAACCATTAGACTAGAGGAAGAATTTTAAAAACGTCAAAAATTAAAAGTCCAGCGTTGGTGGGTCATGCCTGTAATCCCAGAACTTTGGGAGGCTGAGGCAGGAGGAGGATTGCCTGAGACCAGAAGTTTGAAACCAGCCTGGACAACATGGCTAGACTCCATTTCTAAAACAATGTTTAAAACTTAGCCAGGCATAGTGGTATATACCTGCAGTCCCAGCTCCTCAGGACGGGGGGACAGGAGGATCCCTTGAGCCCACGAGTTCAAGGCTGCAGTGAGCTATGACTGTGCCACTGTACTCCAGTCTGGGCAATGGAAAGGGACTCCATTTCTTAAAACACACACACACACACACACACACACACACACACAAATACCCTAAGGCTTTTCTAATTTTTAATAAGTATCCTTGTGCTTAAAAAAAGTATGACTCCATATTTCATAACAATGCAACTGAACATCACTTTACAAATAAGTTTGGGTTTTTTGGGGTGAGTTTTTTTTTTGTTTGATTTGAGAGAGGATCTCGCTTGTCACCCAGGCTGGAGTGCAGTGGAGCAATCATGGCTCACTGCAACCTTCACTTCCTGGGCTCAAGTGATCCTCCCACCTCAGCCTCCTGTGTAGCTGGGATCACAGGTGCACACCACCATGCCTGGCTAATTTCTGTATACAAATAAGTTATTAATAACATACTCAAATTTTTTTTAAAAGACAGAGTTTTGCTCTTGTTACTCAGGCTGGAGTGCAATGGCACAATCTTGGCTTACCACAACCTCTGCCTCCTGGGTTCAAGCGATTCTCCTGCCTCAGCCTCCCAAATAGCTGGGATTACAGGCATGCGCCACCACACTCAGCTAATTTTTTTTGTATTTTTAGTAGAGATGGGGTTTCACCATGTTGGTCAGGCTGGTGTCTCGAACTCCTGACCTCAGGTGATCCACCCGCCTTGGCCTCCCAAAAGGCTGGGATTACAGGTGTGAGCCACCGCGCCCGGCCAACACACTCAAATATTACTGAATTATATACTGGCAAACTTACACATTTCATATCCCTAAAGATAGATAACTTGATACATATGGAGACTTTAATGTCATTGATATTGGTATGAGACACATACTTCATGCCGTTCTTTCATAAGTCTAAACTATATCTCATTTAATTACATAAGCCTCAATTTTAGAGTTCTCTTACATACTACAGAAATCTTTACAAAGCTAGTATGAAAATGAGGCAGAAACTACCCAAAAGCCAAGTGTGCTATGACATAAAGAAAATACTAAAGAGCATTTGAAATCTGGCCTGTAGGCCATGAATATGAAAATCTACCTGCTTGAAGCAGAATTACTTCATTGAGGAAGATGTGGTGTCAAGTCTTTGGAAAAGGTGACAACTCAAACTAGTGGAAAGCCACTTTATTGAGAACTGTGGGAATTTCTAAATTAGGGGCCTTATGGGTCTTCTGACTATCCATTTGAATGCATAAAATGATAACATTTGAGGACTTGCATCCATTTCACATATCTCATCCCAGGACACAGGTTGTGTCTATGATTGCCTTCACACAATGACCAGTACAAAAGGAAGAATTTCATTTGTCTTCACTCCGGTTACCTGGTTTAGGCATTGTCATTAAATTAAACAGTTTATATTTGTAGTATGATACAGACATCAGTCCTTATGAATCCAATGTCAAAACTTTATTTAAAAAAAACCTGTTAATTTGACAGAAAGCATGTCAGTGGTAGAAATATAAAATTCAAGTCTGACCTCTCTATTTGATTATAATTATCATGATAGTACATATTTCAACTTTATATAATAAACAAATACTAAAAACTCAAAACATTTGAGAAATCATTACCTATAATGACTTTGCTAGAAAGTTCTTTTTAAGCTGTAGATGATTTAAGAGCAACTTCAAAATATCACTAAGCTCTATGTTATCAGAAAAAAAAAAGCTGATTTCACATTTTTATAAAGTAACTTAAAGATGAGCACAATGTTACTCTGAGAAAAGTAGTTTGTTCTAACAGTGAATACCAGGCCTTTTTAAGTTTCTACTTTAACATAAACTTTTTTTTATTTTGACCACTTATCCTCAAGTTTTAGTTTATCGTAAAATTTAACTACAGTAACAAAAGGCTAGTGCCTACAAAAGGGTCCCAAATTCCTCATCCTAATATTCAGTGCTGATAAGAATTACATGTTCCAAAATGATCAAATCTATCTATAAAATAGTGAAACACATAGTTAAGCATATTTCATGTTATGAACGACTGACTTACAAACATTCATTCATGTACTTATTTTATTCAGTACTGGGCACAATGTTAGGCACTGGAATCTAAATTATAAACAACACAGACAATGTCTCTCAGGACAGACAACACAGACAACTTCACTCAGGAAGCTTACGGTTTCTTGGGGGGTACACCAAGGATTTGTGGGAACATAGAAGGAAAGCATTTGGCCCAAACTGATGGGCCTGGGAAGGCTTTCTGGAAGAAGCGGTATCTGTGCTGAGCAACATATATGCTCAATGGCTTTCAGCTCTCTGACTAAAGTTCCTTTAACAACATTCAGGTTCATAAACACTATCCTGTGTAGGTAAAGAACCACAGCCCGAAGAACCTTGCAACATTGAGGCATTCTATGACCAACATCAGTACACACTATGAGTTTGTGCCTAAGTTAAAAATATTTATCTCGTGAACCACCTCTTTCAAATCAGAAAAAGCTTCCAGAGCTTCTTATCCACATTCCAGACTGCTTTTCCTCTGCTCTGTATTGGAAAAGCTAAAAAACAAACAAACAAACAACAAACAAAACACAACTTCTGTTACCTCTCTTTTTTATTAAACTTGTTTACTGAAGTACAATGTACATACAGAAAAGTAAAAAAATAAGATCATGGCTGAAAGAATTATCACAGAGTGAACACACCCAGGTCAGAGACGGTGGCTCACACCTGTAATCCCAGCACTTTGGGAGGCCAAGGTGGGTGGATCACTTGAGGCCAGGAGTTCAAGGCCAGCCTGGCCAACATGGTGAAACTCCGTCTCTACTAAAAAAATACAAAGATTAGCCAGGCGTGGTGGCACGGGCCTGTAATCCCAGCTACTCAGGAGGCTGAGGCATGAGAATTGCTTGAACCCAGGGGACAGAGGTTGCAGTGGGCTGAGACCGCACCACTGCACTCAAGCCTGGGCGACAGAGTGAGACTCCATCTCAAAAAATAAAAATAAAAAAAGTGAACACACCCACATAATCATCACCCAGTTTAAGAAATGGAATATTAGTAGCACTCCTGAAGCTTCCCTTGTTCCCTTTCTCTCTTCCCCAGAGGTAAGCATTATCCTGATTTCTAACACCACAGATTGGTTTTGCCATCCTTTGGACTTTATACAAATGGAATCATATAGTATAGTCATCTGTTGCATAAGGATGTTTTGGTAAGAGAAGGACCACATATATGTTGGTCCCTTCAGATTATAATATCAGTTTTTTATTGTACCCTTCCTATGTTTAGATACATAAATACTTACCATTGTGTTACAGTTGCCCACAGTATCCAGTACAGTAACATGCTGGAGAGGTTTGTAGCCTCAGAGCGGCAGGCTATACCACATAGCCTATGTGTGCAGCAGGCTATACCATCTAGGTTTGTGTAAGTACACTCTATGATGTTCGCACAACAAAATTGCCTAAGGACACATTTCTCAGAACGTATCGCCATTGTTAAGTGATGCATGACTGTATGTATTATTTTGAGTCTGTCATCTTTTGCTCAACATTATGTTTGTGAGATTTGTACAGCATATTGTGTGTGGAAATAGTTGATTCATTTTCTTTGCTTTAAAAATATTCCATTATATGAATAAACCACAATTTATTTGTCTTTTCTAATGTTGATGGGCATTTGAGTTATTTCCAGTGTTCAGCTATTAAAAAATACTATGAACATTCTTGCATACGTCTTTTGGTGCACACATTTTTGTAGGGTCTACTATACCAGAGAACGAAATTGCCAGGAAACAGGATGCATATACTTTCAGCTTTAACAGACACTGTCAAGCAGTTTTCCAAAATGGTTTTTCCATTAGTAGTGTATATGAGTTTCAATTGCTCAACGTTATTATCAATACTTGGTTTTGCCAGTCTTAGTTTTCACCATTCTGTTGGAAATATGTTGGTATCTTATTTTGGTTTCAATTTGTATTTACCTGGTGACTATTTCGGTTTAGTATCTTTTTCTGTTTATCGGCCATTTGGATATACTGTTCGTGAAGTGCCTGTTCATGTTTTTCACATTTGTGAAATTAGGTTCTTTTTTTTCCTGTTGATTTGTAAGAATTTGTTATATATTCTGAAAATAAGTCCTTAGTTATATGCATTTCAAATACCGCCTCCTACTCTGTAACTTACATTTCTACTTTCTAAATAGTGTCCTTCAATAACAGAAATTCCTAATTATAACATAGACCAATTTATCAATCTTTTCTGTATGGTTTTTTTTTTTTTGTCCTATTTAAGATATCCTTACCTAACTCAGGGTCATGAAGATATTCTTATGCATTAATGTTAGAAGCTTTACTGCTTTACCCTCTATATTTAGACTTATAGTCTAAATAGAAATCTGAAATTGATATTTGTATATGGTATGAGGTAGAGGACCATGATTTTTTTTCATGAGGTTATCCAGTTGAATCAGAATATTTTATTAAAAATACCATCCATCTTCATTGTTTTGCAGTGCTACCTATGTTATAAAATCAAGTTTCCACATATATGTGGGTATATTTTTGGACTCCTTATCATTTTATTTGACTTTCATCAATCCTTACACCAATACCACGCTATCTTAATTACTGTAGCTTTATAACAAGCCTTGATATCTGGTAGTGTAAATCTTCCAACTTTCTTCCTTTTCTTCCAGATGATTTTGACTATTATTGGTTCTTTACATTTTCATATAAACGTTAAAATCGTTTGTCAGTTTCTACCAAAAAAAAAAAACCCATTGGCTCTATCCACCTATTTTTGTTTCTGCTCTGCTAATAGTATCTCTTCTGTCTCCCTGCCAATGGCTTCAGATCATTTTGGAGTACATTTCTCCCCATTAGGACTTAGGCACTCATTTCTGCAAAGAAGGTATGAGGTACCACTATGAGGTATTTCAGAGTAAAGGCTCATGGTAATGCTTTAAGAGCATGCCTGTGATTCTTAGAAACTTCTTCAGTTCCTTAGAGATTTTGCAAGAAAACATAATTTTTAAAGAGTCAATTATTCAGACTTCTCTAGAAATATATTTTTGTGACAACTGCCAGTATCATATACTTCTAAAATCTCAGGGGATATTCAGAAGCTCCACTCCTATCACTCTTTAAAATCAACGGGAATCACAACTTTGCTAGAATTTTACAATGCAAAAGGTCTTCAGGGCTTACTCCTTTTTTGATTAAGCCCAGTTTTACTTGAAGATCAGTTTTCAAAATGAATAATTACTCATATAATTATTTTTGTTTTATATTGAGAACTGAAACAGCATTATTTTCCCTTAGACCTTGAGCTACATGATGGCCTTCATATGTTCTTGTCCTTTAATTTCTTAATACTCAAATTACAAGCAAACTTTAGAAGTACAATGGTCTAAAATTAGAAGTCAAGGATTTAGGATACCAGTTTGGGTTATGCCATCAAGAATTTATGACTACTCATATACACTCTCTAAACAGAGGAGAGCAATTACACTGCCTATGTGTAATATATTGCATTAACTAGATAACATCTTTAAGGCTAATAAAGTCCATTAGACTAAAATGAACTTCAGAACAGGTACTGTTGGATCCCTATACCTCAAAAATAGTAAAGTTTAATAACTGTGGTTGAATTCATGAGTAACTAATTTTGATCTCATCATTGTTTTTCTGAAAGCACAGAAGAAAAAAATGAGTTAAATGAAAAGTTGACTTTAAATGTTAAGGCAGCTAAATTTCACATTCAGCTTTATTCTCCCCACACTGACTGAGGGTGACATATCTATTCAGGTAAGAGAGTAGAGAGGGCTGAAGAGTCAGGCCTGAATGGGAAAATGTCAGTTGTAGGAGCCTTTAGTGTATTTTTATATAGTGCTAAGCACATGTCTTGCCCACAACATGCATGCTATATGTACTTGTTGATTCCATTGGACAGCACTCAAAGCCACAGCATTGGCATCATGATTCTTTGTAATACAGATGGTGCCTTTATAAGAAATGTTGACTTTAAGCAGAACCTGATTGTACATGCCCATGGCTCAGAAGTCCTCTTTTGTAGGTCACGAAACTAGATGCACATGAAGACAATGGATTCCATGAAGAGAGAGAATAATTTCACGCATATGCTGAAATATCTGGAGTGTTTATGATACTAATTTACCTTTCTAATCATCATTCTCCCCTCTACAAAAAGAAACATGTTCATTAATAATATCCAACATGGATTCTACAGAGTTTCAGGCCTGTGAAAAAAAGGGCCCTCCTAGGGTGAAGTATAAGGCCATTTCTAGGGTCCAGAAGTCTGAAGAAGGCCACTCAGAGAAAACGGTCCCAGCATTTTAAATTATTTACTCAAAATAGAACTATGTTTAATAATAATATTTTCGTTAAATGTTTATAAGTAAATATATTTACCTAAATGTACAGAAATTAGTGTTAACACTCTTATTTATGTAGTACCCAGGTAATCAGAAAGCTCAATCATTATCAAATTATTTTTCCCCATAAGCAAGACTCTAAAATAGCAATAGATGCTCACAATGATAATCATTCACACTAAAGATTCCAATAGACCTCCTGAAGAATTTTTGGAAGTAATTGTTTTGGGTGTATGTTTAAGATTAAGTTTATTATATTCTAATGCTTACAAAACTAGTCATATGTACAATACGTACACATGGACACTAGGTTAAACAGAAAAATTCAATTAGTGAAAAATTCCATTTACTACTTGTTACATAGAATCAGACATTTATTGTATCTGCTGCTTTCTCAAATTCAGGCATATCAGTCACTGTGCTCCCTCTCCTGAAAGTCTTTCCCTATCAGTCTATTATGCAATTCTCTAAGCCCTAAAATTCCCCTCAAAATGCATGAGTTAATTATATTCTATCCTTTCAAACATGTCAACAGTTTCTGTGAACATCTTTTAGGTAATATTTTACTAATATTAAAGTTTACTATTGTTAAATATGGGAAAGTTAAATACATATTCATTTTTAAATAGATCAACAGAATTTTTAATTACAAGGAATTGAAATTTCTAAAACCCGGGTTTAAATGAGTCTAAGCTGTTCAAACTTAACTATATATCTCATTTTTTCCCCATATGTATGATACCTAAAAATATATTTTAGCTTATTTTTTAAACCAGCATACATTCAATTTCTGAAAACAACTCCAAGCTTTGATAGTATCTGATTCATCAAAAGCTTTGTCATTCATCGAAATGATTTTACTTACAAAACATAAATATCAACTTTATCATTAGGGAATGTTTTGTTGAATAGCAATATGAATTCACTGAAGGACATATATCATTTTACTAAAATACTTTGTAAAAATTTACAAATTAGAACAAAGTGATCATCCTTACATGTTCATAAGTTACATAAGAAAATAATATAAACTGAAATTAATTTTAACATAAGCTTCTGAAAGAGAATTGCAAAAATAAAAATGGAATTTATCTTGTCATATCTTGGTGTTCAAAATATTTTTAAAGAAAGGATAGACAGAATGTTCACAGATGACCTGAAGAGCCTTGCCTTAAGTGATGATTTTTTCCTATTCAGCTAGCTATTATAAATATGCTAAAAACAACAGCAAGGACAAAAAAATGCACATAATTAAACTGTCATTATGCCATCAAAAATAGATTTTATATGAACATATAATATTACAAGTGTTCAAAAATAAGTTGATTTATACTTTGCTCCTAGTAGTTCCTTTAAAAACAAATAATTTTTTCAGTAGCTGACAATGCACAAAATAATTACTAAGAGCATGTGAGGTTCCCAGCAAACTTTTTTGCTTATATAATTCTGTTTCCTTTCACATCCACCAAATGGGAAATGGAATCATATGTGACACTAATAATTCTTCATGAAAAACATCATTCTGAACATACTATTGAATAAATGTATTCATATATACATACACACACACACACACATAATATGGATGATAGAAAGTATAGGCATGTATCTCCTATTTATATGATCCAAATGTTCTACAACCCTAAAACCTACATTTCCTTTATCTTCAATAAATATATATATGCATCTCTATGTATGATATGTATAATACATATAAATATGTATGTTTTAATTTGAAATAATGTATTCATTTCACAGCTTTAGATTAGTTCCAAAAATATGGTTCAAAAATATAGAGTTTACAAATGTACCTAATTGATACAAAGAGATCAGCTCCAAAAGAGTAACAGTTTAACCTATTCCCTTCAAAATACGTTAAGATACTCATACATTGCCATTAGTTTACTTTGTTATCTCAAATGATAAATAAAAAGAATCTAGTCTTTCCTGAATTTAAAACAAAGATAGAATTCTCAGATTTTCATATTAATTTGAGTAAACGATCATAATACAGTTTCTGGATAATTAATTTGAGCAATAAGACAAGGGTTGCTGAATTTCTGAATAGGCATTTCTAGAGATAGGCTTAACTCTATTTTGACTTGAACCAAAAAACTAGTTTTATTTAGCATTTTGCAACTCTCTGAACTAAACACAATAATTAGCAGGGAAAATTTTTTTAATGTTCACTTGACCGTTAAAACTGAATGAATTACAATTGTTATACCTAATATGGAGTTTATTCTGGATGTGTGGAGGGTGTGTGTATGTGTGTGCAAGTGACCCACTGAAGTAACAAGCACTCTGCTGCTTGGGAGTGGCAAAAGGTGAGTTGCTCTAAGAGTACAGTACTTACATCCTCAGTTCTGTGTCGCCTAACAGAAACTACAGTATGTTTCAAATCTTTTTTCTTAAAGAGAGTTATAAAATCACTCTTTGATAGGTGCTACAATTTGGTTCAAAGCCTCCTAAAAGTTGAATGGCAATGTTAAAACCATTAAGCACTCAGCTCCTGAACATGGAGAAAATTATGCTTGTATAGCAACTAGGACTTCCTTCTCAAGATTGCAGCAGCAGTCAACATTAACAATGGATGATTCTTGTAATTGGGGTGGAAGGCTAGGGTGGGAGAGGAAAAGAAAAAAAAGTTTACATCATATCTTTCCCTGAGATTACCTAAAAATT
The DNA here is from genome assembly GCF_000001405.40 of Homo sapiens. Classification (NCBI taxonomy): domain Eukaryota; kingdom Metazoa; phylum Chordata; class Mammalia; order Primates; family Hominidae; genus Homo; species Homo sapiens. The sequence goes on along the minus strand of NC_000002.12, from coordinate 44,479,893 downwards.
TATACTTCATAATTTAACACCATAAAATTACGGCTGTCAATACTTGTTTGGGGACACACTTTCAAATACAAAATGGAACTTAAAAGAAAGATAAGCTACTTAAATCTTAAAAGGGAAACTAAACATTAATGGTAATTTTCTCATGTATCACATTTCAAAGAAGAGCCCTTACAGTATAAAGATTCCATGAGTTCGTGACAGCTTTATTCTTAGACCCACAAATCGAGCCATTGTTATGCTCTGAAACTGTAGGAACTGCTGCCACCTATAGGATCTGAACAACAATGGCAGTGTTTTACTCAGCAGTACCCTCTACTGGGGACAGAAATGTGATGAATGTGTAGGCACTTTTCTTAACAGCAGGTGGCCTCACTTTTGCTACAGATTTACCTCAAAAATGTTGGTTTAAAAGCTTTTTCATGTTTTGTAAAATAAACTCCAACTTCCGCCTGAATCTAAAGTTGCTAGGTGATCTGAGATAGGAAAAAAACCCACAACCGTGAACTCTGAAAATTCACTTCCATAAACAGTTTCACAAAGTTGTTCCCCAGTTGCTAATCTAATGTCACTTAGTGCCATGCCATACCAACCAAGACACAAAAGAGAGGTACTCTACTGAGACTCCCTGCATAAGGGTGAAATTAAGGAAAGTTTTTATTGAGTATAAAATGTCTGTTACCATAATTAGTCCCATCTTTCTAGAATTTATTACACTCTGTAATATAAAGTAACTATAAAGATGCCAGTTTCTTGTGGCATTCTTAGGTAACTAATATTAAGCAAGGTTATACATTTTTAAAGATATTTACTGTTGAGGATTAGTAAACTCAAACATTTAAGAATAGCAATATGTACCAAGGATGTCAGCAAAATTTTCTTAGAAAAGAAAAGCAATTGCCGGGCGCGGTGGCTCACGCCTGTAATCCCAGCACCTTGGGAGGCCGAGGCGGGCGGATCACGAGGTCAGGAGATCGAGACCATCCTGGCTAACATGATGAAACCCCGTCTCTACTAAAAATACAAAAAATTAGCCGGCGTGGTGGCGGGCGCCTGTAGTCCCGGCTACTCGGGAGGCTGAGGCAGGAGAATGGGGTGAACCCAGAAGGTGGAGCTTGCAGTGAGCCGAGATCGTGCCACTGCACTCCAGCCTGGGCGACAGAGCGAGACGCCTCTCAAAAAAAAAAAAAAAAAGGAAGAAAAGAAAAGCAATTAACTTTTATATCTTTTTATTGCAACCAGAAAATGACACCTTCCCTTTGGTTTTATTCCATCCATACAAATTAATTAAAATAACTAATGCCTTTATTATTGTTAAAGATTTGAAAGCATTTTAAATGTTAACAAATAAAAGGTGTTATAACCAAGGGCAGAAGGATTTCAGCATATTCAGAAGCCAAGGTAAAGTAGGTCTATAAACTAAAGAAAATCTTGTAACAGAAAATCATTCAGTCAGAGTCAAGTAGCACTCATACTATGAAAATAAAAAATATTATCCACCATATTGCTGTAGACATGCCATCAACTGATGATATTGCAAAGGCTAAACTCTAAACCTATATCTGTAATCACAGCAAATGGTGGCAAGAAAAAAAATATATAGACTTAGAACAAAACAAAGAAACAAAATAATACCCAATTCAAAGCCATGAAAAAGCAAATAAAATTATTATTGAAATGCTGACTATTGCAGAAATATTGGGTGAATATTTCAAAATGTAGCCAGCTATCCAGATATTTATCATGTTTCTTTAGAAAAAAATTAGGATTTGTTTTTAAGTATATTCAGATCTTTGGTCACAAAATCACAGATTCCTAGAAAATATTTAATATACATTGCTTTTAATTTTACACATTAAATCTATGGTACATATAGGTATTTTTTAGGGCCACTGAAACAAATTGTCACTGCAGCCTTACATACGCTGTTTGCCACTGAAATCTTAGAAAGGAATGGACATGGAGGAAGTACCATCCGTCCCTTTGTGTGAAGTAGCTTTGTTAATTCCATGAGTTCTCACACTACTGCCTTTCACCTGTGACCAAGCTTAGCCTATACCTGTACCATTGTGAATATGCTAATAGTCCTGAATTTAGGCCTATCACCTTCCTTCTTTTCTTTAAATATCTTTACATGTCTGGCCTGGCACCATTTTCTTCAAATGACTATTCTTTAGTGCGAACAAAAGCTCTGATGGACTCTTCAATTCCTTTCATAGTTAAGAAATGGCAGCTAGGCAAAATGGAGGAATAGAAAAAGCTAAATGTGCTCAACCAAAAATGTACTATAACCTTATAATTCTAGATAACTGGGCTTTATCTTAAATCTATACTTTTGAGATTTATAATTTTTTCCAGCTACCTACACAACTTATTTTTAAATTGTTTATTGAGTTACTGTAGTTTATGTTTTTCAGCTTTAAACTGTTTTATCAATTTCCAAACCAGGGTGGGGAAATATGGTTTAAAAATAGTTTTAACTTATAATAGGGCTTAGCAAACTTATTTGATACAAAGTTGTATATAAATATCATTGTACTGAAACCAATACACCAGACTTATATAGATCCACTGGTTCTCAGGGTGGGTACACCTGTACACCCCAATCCTGGACTTCTCCAAAATTTCTGATAACATCATGGGTTTGCTCTACTATGAAGTGCATGTTATTAGATCAAATCTCCAAGCTCCTATTAACTCTATAATGAACTACGGCAAACTGAACTTTTGTTGTGTGTTTTCTAAAAGATAGTGATTAAATACATAGGTAGGCAGATATAATTGTATGTGGTAATACATGCCTACAATGTTTTTCAAATTTTGTTTAAATAATTTTTAAAATTTTCCTAAATTCTCTATATCCTCATAGTAATGATGTCTCTGAGACTATAACCCAGAACTACCATTGATATGACTGTATAAAAGCTTTCTTTCATTACTTCAGTAATAAGCCATTTGGATAATAATAATAGCTGGGATATAGCACCCACCATGTGTCATGTACTAGGTGCTTTTTATTCATAAGCATTGATCCTTAGACCAATCCTTTGAGTTATTATCCCCATTTTACAGATGAGGAAATTGAAAGACAAGTAAATTACATGGCTTGCCTAAGACCACGAGGTCTGTGGATTACAAATTAAGTGCTCTTTCTGTTAAGCAACTGTAGATATAATTTAATTCAATTCCAGAAAACAATATTGAGCTACATGGAACATATGATTCTAAGCATTTTTTTTTTCACAAAGTAATTTAGTTTATAAAATTAGGTAACTCAAAATCTCACAAACATATAAAGTTTTTTTTTACACAGTGTAAAAACACCTTTACACATTTTTAAGAACCCTAAAACCCTGAACATGACAAGATTTAATATTTCACTTATATTCTTGATATATGTTAATATCATCACACAATAAAATGAACACATTTCACAGCAAGAAAAGGACTCAGGAGCTAGAAAATTTAAATAGTTGATGCTACAAAGTCACTATGTATCCCATTTTAAGAATATGTTATACTATGCAAAACTGTAGAAGGACCACATATTGATAATGAGTGGGATCTTTTGAATTTGCAATAATCTTTACCTTTAAGAAATTAATAATCTCCTACTACTTTTTTTTTTCCAACCACATGCTTTCACCACTTTAGTAGTGTCTTCATTTTGAAAGCACTTGGAATAAACAGTTTAAAAACTGTAATTTTCTTTGTAGGTACAGTATTAAATTGCAGTATCAACTCAAGCACCGAAGAACTACAGTGCTACCCTGAGGACAAAAGGCATTTTAGATGTCGTAAATATATTATGAAGAAGTCTTTTCTTTAAATTGTCAGCAAGATAACCTCATTCTTTCCTTTTTAATAGTGATTTAGTGTTGTTTCACACAAAAATCAAATGCAATGGTATTTATGGTACCATACATTATATGATAAGAAACAAAAAGGTTTCAAAGGATATCCTAAAGCTTCAGTTTTAAGGGACATAAGTAGGTGAGCAGATGGTTCTCAGAGAATGCAGTCACAGACTTTCCCCTTCAGAATATTCCTAAACGATACATTTTGATTTGAAGGGTCCTGTTCGTAGGTCCATCATATGCTTCTAGTAAATCAACACTGAAATGAGATCATGCATAAGATTTCTTTTTTAAATAAAATTTCTCTTTAAAATAGTGAGGTATCCAACAGTCCTCTGCCTTTTGAAGGCCATCCTTGTAATATACACAATGTTGCCAGCTCTACTTGCCACACCAGTTATTCCTTTCAAAAATTTCTACTTATAGGCCAGGCGCGGTGGCTCATGCCTGTAATCCCAGCACTTTGGGAGCCAAGACGGGCGGATCACAAGGTGAAGAGATCAAGACCATCCTGGCCAACATGGTGAAACCCCATCTCTACTAAAACAACAAAAATTAGCTGGGTGTGGTGGCACGCACCTGTAATCCTAGCTACTCAGGAAGCTGAGACAGGAGAATCACTAGAACCCAGGAGGCGGAGGTTGCAATGAGCCAAGATGACGCCACTGCACTCCAGCCTGGGTGACAGAGCAAGACTCCATCTCAAAAAAAAAAAAAAAATTTCAACCTATATTCTTACTATTTAAAAACTTCAACTTTTCAAATAAGGTCCATTCTATATTCCTTTATTCAGAACAAGTCCAACCACTTACTAAAAGTTTCCATTTGTTTTTATTAAAGCCTAATTTATCTACTTTAAAATTTAAATCAGATATTAATAAAATTTATTAAATACTCAAGAGGATACAAAAGAAATAATGGAACATGGATATTAAACTAAGCCACATGCTATAGAAGGATTACATTTTGACTCTTTTCAACTGTATCATTTTGGTAAATATTAGAATCAAGTTTGTTCAAATAATAATACATTCTCGAGTTTCATCTATCACTATGTCTCAGGTCTTTTCTTGTCATTCTTGTGTCTGGCCAGTCTTTCACGATGAATGTCATAAATATTACTCAGTTCTACATACCAGGCACTGAATAAAGAAAAGTTATTAGTATGAGGAGCTTACATTTTAGCAGAATAGAGAGCAAAAACGGAAATAGAGAATTGCAGCATAGAGGGTTTCCATGTATTTACAGTGCTGTTAGTGCAATTAATAGAGATATCAAGCAATGTTATTTGGAGTACAGGGAGGAGCATTTGGTCTGGCATAGTGAGGAAGGTCAGGAATAACATTTAACACAGTTGTTTGCTGAATTTGAATCTGAAAGGAAGCAGTCACTGCCTTAGAGATTATAGGTCTAGTTGGGTTGATAGACATATAGGAATTAAATAGTAACAGAATGATTTTCATGTTGACTTGGTTATATTTCCTTTGAAAAAAATTAGCATTTCGCTCTCCCTCTTTATCTCTCTCTTACTCACTACTTACCTCTCGATACTTACTACATTTCTTTTTTCTTTTTCTTTTTTTTTTTTTTTTTGAGACGGAGTCTCGCTCTGTCACCCAGGCTGGAGTGCAATGGCACAATCTCAGCCCACTGCAACCTCCATCTCCTGGGTTCAAGCAATTCTCCTGCCTCAGCCTCCCGAGTAGCTGGTATTATAGGCACCTGCCACCACACCCGGCTAATTTTTTGTATTTTTAGTAGAGATGGGGTTTCACTATGTTTGCCAGGCTAGTCATGAACTCCTAACCTCAGGTGATCCGCCTGCCTCGGCCTCCCAAAGTGCTGGGATTACAGGTGTGAGCCACGACGCCCGGCCCAATGCTTACTAAATTTCTATTAAGTTCAGAGGATATTTCACAATTCCAAAGAAGAACTGTGATGTTTATTATGATGCACATATACCATGTATATGCACACAGGTATATGTGAATGGAGATTATATTCCTTCTCCTTTGCCTTGTGCTGCAAATAGCCAAATAATCTCTGCTATAAATCATGTAATTGCTGCTTAGTAGTATTCAATTTGGATGGTGCCTCATGGGTAATCTCTAAATAGAACAACTGGTCCCAGTTTACGGATTGAAAGGTTTGTAAAAGAAGGGCAGAGATAAATGACGGGTATCCCAGTAATAACCAAAGATCAGGCACAGAAGACAATGATTCTAGAAAGTCCACAAGTCTCTAGGTAGTTGAATTCTCACCGCATAAACTGTTTTAACTTTTGTCAATTGGGTTTCTACCATACTTATTCTACATTAAATGTGGAGTTTACTTATTCCACATTAAACTGTAACTTCCCCAAGGAGAGAGGATTGTTTTTATATTTTGTAACTTCAGGTATCTACTAAAAAATTCCACACAGAGTAAAGTCATGGATGGAAAGGTTTCATTGTCCAGAGTTGGTTATTACATATTAAACAGAATTTGTCTTCGTTAACTTACCTTCCCAAGATAATTTATCTCTAAATCCACGCTTATAAAACATACCATTTTATGGAATTATTTCTAAAATGTACTAAACATAGCACTGTTTTTAAAAAAAATTCTGGCACTCAATCTACCACAATGATCCTTCTTCAATAATGGGATTATTTCTTTAGCTCTGATTTGTTAGTGGTTGGAGGTTTAATTTTTAAAACATAGATTGTTAACATTTTGGTATATAAAATGTAAAATCTACTAATGAGGTTCCAATTATTATAAATTATTTGATTTTTTAATGCGATACCTATCATTTTTCATAAAATGAAACACAAAGGAAATGCCCACAAAAAAACATATGTTGGCCAATAATAATCCATGTCTCTGATTTTCTTTTTAGTAGTGTTGATAGCAGGTCATACCATTTGGCAGTTCAGCTACCATTTCACCAATGGAAACATTCCTTCCACCCCTCTCACCCAAACCCGGAAGGAATTGAAAGAAACATCATGGTAGAACTATCCATTTAGACACGTTGTAATGGAAGACAGCTGCTTCACTATCTTTCCTCTCTCCCGGTTTATTCCTCACGCTGGTAACTGAAATGCTGGCTGCATATCAATCTCAGGAGAAGTAGGAAGGAAATGCACATAGATTTAAATGCAGCTAGAAAAAATGCAACTTGATAACTTATATAAGAAGACATTAAATGTATCTAAATAAATATATTTCATTATTTGATTTGAACATTTAATCTCATCAACATGTAACTTATGTTTTGCTATCTGCAGAATAGAATTCTGTTCAAAACCACACTCCAGAATGCTATTTTCTGGGATGCATAATTTAGGAAAAGCAATTTCTTCTTTCCTATATCTGCCCGTCCTCTCTACCAACTGTGGGCTCCTAGGTGACAGGCACCAAGTCTTACTTTTTTGTATCCTCAGGTTCTTGCTTACATTGTATCATCCATAAATTTTTGTTAAAAATGAAAGAGGATATATGGAATATTTGTATTATGAATGTTTTTAGATAGTATATTTTAGTACAAACAGGATTTTGGGGGCTGATGCAAAAGTTCGAACCTTAGACAAGTTATTAGATTGAGCCTCACAGCAACAGTAGTAATAGCTACAATTTATTCGCTGACTACTATGGTATGTACTTTATATACATTATCTCATTTATTCTTCACAATAAAAAATAATCATTCAAATGAAATTCCAAAGCAAATTTCATACACTGATTAAAAAAGAATTGCCCATTTAATATCCTGGCTAACAGAGTGAAACCCCATCTCTACTAAAAACACACAAAAAAATTAGCCAGGTGTGGTGGCGGGCACCTGTAGTCCCAGCTACTCGGGATGCTGAGGCAGAAGAATGGCGTGAACCCAGGGAGCGGAGCTTGCAGTTAGCCGAGATTGTACCACTGCACTCCAGCCGGGGCAACAGAGCGAGACTCCATCTCAAAGCAAAAAATAATTGCCCATTTAATTCTTTTAGGAAGAATCATAAATAGTTCTTTTGAAAATCTTCATACCAACCCCTTAAAGTACTATTTGAAAATAGTACTTTAGGCCAGGCATGGTGGCTCACGCCTGTAATCCCAGCACTTTGGGAGCCCCAGGCAGGTGGATCACTTGAGGTCAGTAGTTTGAGACCAGTCTTCTCTATGTGGAGAAACCCCATTTCTACTAAAAATACAAAAATTACCCAGGCGTGGTGGTGCACACCTCTAATCTCAGCCACACGGGAGGCTGAGGCACAAGAATTACTTGAACCGGGAGGTGGAGGCTGCAGACAGTCTGGGCAACAGAGTGAGACTCCATACTTTACATCAAGAATCAGAGAAGAGTGATTTGACTCAACTCACATAGCTAGTAAATGCTTAAGCTATACCATCTAACTACTTGACTCCAAGGTCATGTTCTTTCTTTTGTTAGTTAATTTTTTTTCTGAGACAGGGTCTTGCTCTGTTACTCAGGCTAGAGTGTATTGGCACAATCATGGCTCTCTGCAGCCTCCACCTCCTTGACTCAAGCGATCCACCTACCTCAACCTCCCTAGTAACTGGGACGACAGGCACCCACCACCACCACCAGCTAAATTTTGTATATATTTTTTAGAGACGGGGTTTTGCTATGTTGCCTTGGCTGGTCTCAAACTCCTAGACTCAAGTGATCCACTGTGCCTGGCTATTCCATAAAATTTTATAAAAAAATGTTTTTAAAGCATTAAAAGCAAACAGCTAGAGAAGAAACATTAGAGCCGGGCGCGGTGGCTCACCCCTGTAATGCCAGCACTTTGGGAGGCCAAGGCAGGCAGACCACCTGAGGTCAGGAGTTTCAGACCAGCCTGGCCAACATGGTGAAACCCCGTCTCTACTAAAAATACAAAACTTAGGTGTGATGGCGGGTGCCTGTAATCCCAGATACTTGGGAGGCTGAGGCAGGAGAATTGCTTGAAATCGGAAGGCGGAGGTTGCAGTGAGCCAAGATCGCACCACTGCACTCCAGCCTGGGTGAGAGAGCGAAACTGTCTCAAAAAAAAAAAAAAAAAAAAGAGAGAGAGAGAGAAGAAACATTAACAATAGTGAAAAACAAAACATTAATATTCCTAATATTCAAAGAGCTCTCAAAATCCAATAAGAAAAAGATAAACATAGCAGATAAACTGACAAAAGAACAATTAATTTACAATAGAAAAAAATGCAAGTGGACCTCAAATACATGAAAAGTGGTTAATCTCATAAGTAATCAATAAATGTAAATAAGAACTCAATAAGGTATTACTTTTTGCCAACTGACAATTTCAAAAGACAGATAATACGCAAGGTTGTTGGAGAAGGAAAAAACAGACATGCATATATATTAGCAATGACTTTGTCTGGATATCATTTTATTAATGTATAGCAAAATTCAATAATCAGCTTCTTAAATAAAGACAGTAAACGTACTTTTTAAGTAGAATAACCAAAACCCCCTTGACAATCTACAACAAAGCTATAACAAGGTATCTCCATGAATGACAAAATACAAACAGGTGGGAAGAAACCAGACACCTCCAAATTGTAAACTCCTTCCAAGGTATTCCTTGAGAAGCATGGAGGGCCAATTTGAGAACAGCAACTGAAAATGAGAGACACTACTGCCCATTCCAACTCACAGGTGAGAGTACAAAGGGTCTGAAGCTGCCCTCACAAAGGACAAGTGGCTGGTAGTGGAATGCAAATTGGGCAGGATGGGGCAATAGAATTAAAGCAAAGAAATGACCCAGGTAAAAATGGGAGAGGAGAAAACCCAGGAAACTTCACAGTATGAGGCCATAGTTTTAAAAACAGAATTGAGAATGTTAGAACTGGAAAGCTACAAAAGCTATATTGACACAACCCTCCTACCTAAATATTTAGAATAACTACTTTTACATTAAAATGAGCCGCAGGAAATATTACAGTTGAATCTCATGGAAAGTTCTTATTAGAGAGAAAAAAAAAGATAAAGGGAAAAATTATATCTATGGATAGATACAGAAAATATCTATATAGAAAATCTAACTTATTATGTCCAAACAAGCTAGAAGAAATTAAGAAAGCAATAGAAGATATTTAAATATATAAATCAGAATTAGAAAACCCAGAAATAAGGTGATAAAATGCAAAAAAAAATTAGAAATGAAAGAAATTTTTTTCAAAAATGAAAACAAAACCAGAAGGAACATGAGAGCAAACAAACGTAACTGATAATACCTTAAAAGTAATAGAAGATGAAAAGGATACAATTAAAGACAAAATAAAAACTGAAAATGTGAGGAGACAGATGCATGGTGATGATAAGCGTACAACATTATGTATGTATTCAATACCACTGAATACTAAAAAATGGTTAAGATGGTAAATTTTGTGATAGGTGCATTTTAACACAATAAAAAATTTGGAAAGAAAACAAATTAAGAAAGCAATTATAAACATGAGATAAAGTAACATATAAAGAAACACAAAGAAGAAGATTTAACATACATGTAAGAGGAGCTCCTGAAAAAGAAAAGTAATGGATTACAACAAATGTGGAATTATCATCCAAGAAAATGTTTCTAAAATTTATAAACAAAGAAATATACTTAAAGCTACGCATTGAAAGGGCACACACCAAATACACAATCTTTGGATTTTCAGACAACATGACCAAATTATTTATAACAAAAAAAAAATCAGGTTTAATAAGATTCAACAGCCAAATAGATTAAGACACTCAATGAAAAAATAAGCTAATTTTTAAAAAATTATTATTATATTTAACTAACACATAGTAATTGTACACATTTATGGATACAGTATGATACTTTGATATATATGTACAATGTGTAATGATCAAATCAGGGTAATTAGTATATCTTACCTCAAACATATATCATTTCTTTGTTAACGATAGTCACTCTACAGTGCTGTAGAACACTAGAACTGATTCCTCTCATCTAGCTTTAATATTGTATACATTAACCAACCTCTCCCAATACCTTCCTTCACCCTACTCTTCCTAGCCTTCCATTCCCTACTTCCATGAGATCAACATTTTTAGCTTCCACACGAGTGAGAACATACATTTTTCTTTCTTTTCCTTTGTTTTTTTGTTGTTGTTTTTGAGACAGGGTCTCACACTCTGTCATCCAGGCTGTAGTACAATGGAGCAATCATGGCTCACCACAGCCTCAACCTCCCAGCTCAAGCAATCCTCCCACCTCAGCCTCCTGAGTACCTAGGATTATAGGCATGTACCACCATACCCAAATAATTTTTGTAATTTTTGTAGAGACTGGGTCTTGCTTTGTTGCTCAGGCTGGTCTCAAACTTCTAGGTTCAAACAATCCTCTCTCCTCAGCCTCCCAAAGTGCTGGGATTACAGGCATAAGCCACCACACCTGGCCTTATATTTTCTTTATCTATCCATCTCTAGATGAACACAGATTGATTCCATATCTTGGCTACTATGAACAGTGCTGCAATAAACATGGGAGTGCAGATAGCTCTTCAATATACTGATTTCAATTACTTTGGATATATACCCAGCAGTGATACTGGTGAATCATATGATAGTTCCATTTTTAGTTTTCTGAGGAAACTCCATACTGTTTTCCATAATGGCTGTATTAATCTACATTCCCACCAGCAGTGTATGAGCTCCCCCTTCTCTGTATCCTCACCAGCATTTGTTATTTTTTGTCTTTTCGTTGACAGCCATTGTACCTGGAGTGAGAGATGATATATCATCATGGTTTTGATTTATACTTTCCTGATGACCAGTGATGTGGAACATTGTTTCATATACTTGTTGGCCTTTAATATGACTTCTGCTGAAAAATATCTATTCAGATTATAGCCTCATTTTTGTTAGATTATTTGCTTTTTTGCTGTTGAATTGTTGAGTTCCTTGTATATTCTGGATATTAAACTCTTGTTGGATAGTTTGCAAATATTGTCTCCCATTCTTCCAGTTGTCTTTTCACTCTGTTGATTGTTTATTCTGTTGTGCAAAAGCTTTTTAGTTTTATATAATACTATTTGTCTATTTTTGCTTTTGTTGCCTATGTTTTTGAGGTCTTAGCCATAAAATCTTTGCCCAGACCAATGCCCTGAAGCATTTCTCCCATACTTTCTTCTGGTAGTTTCATAGTTTTGGGTCTTATATTTGAGTCCGTAATCCATCTTGAGATGATTTTTGTGCATGGTGAGAACTAGGAGTCTAGTTTCATTCTTCTACATATGGATATCCAGTTTTCCCACCACTATTTACTGAAGAGACTGTCCTTCCCCTCAACATATTTTTGGAATACCTTTCTCAAAAATCAGTTGGCTATAGATACACAAACTTATTTCTTGGTTCTGTATTCTATTGGTCTACATGTTAGTTTTCATGCCAGTACCATATTGTTTTGCTGACTGTCGCTTTGTAGTATATTTTGGTGGTGGTGGTGGTGAGTTTTTGTTTGTTGGTTTGGCTTTGTTTTTTTTTGTTTTTTTTTCTGAGACAGAGTTTCGCTCTTGTCACCCAGGCTGGAGTGCAGTGGTGCAATCACAGCTCACAGCTCACTACAACCTCTGCCTCCCATGTTCAAGGGATTCTCCTGTCTCATCCTCCCTAGCAGCTGGGATTACAGGCACCCACCACCATGCCTGGCTAATTTTTGTATTTTTAGTAGAGACAGGGTTTCACCATGTTGGCCAGGCTGGTCTCGAACTCCTGATCTCAGGTGGTCTGCCTGCCTTGGCCTCCCAAAGTGCTGGGATTACAGGCGTGAGCCACCTGTTTGTTTTTGTTTTTGGAGACAGGGTCTTGCTGAGTACAGTGTCATGATCACAGCTCACTGCTGCAGCCTTGACCTCCCAGGCTCAAGCAATCCTCCCACCTCAGCCTCCTGAGTAGCTGAGACTGCAGCTATGTGCCACCATGCCTGGCTAATTTTGCTTTTATTTTTTGTATAGACAGGGTCTCACTATGTTGCCCAGGCTGATCTCAAACTCCTGGACTCAAGCAATCCTCCTGTATTGGCCTCCCAAGGTGCTGGGATTACAGGTGTGAGCCACCGTGACTGGCCTATTTTTATTTCTTAGTGATTCAGTCTTGGTAGGTTATATGTTTCTAGAAATTTATCCATTTCTAGGTTATCAAATGTGTTGCTGTGTAATTGTTCATAGTAGTCTCTTATAGTCCTTTTCAGTTCTGTGGCATCCGTTGTTTTGTCTGCTCTTTCATTTCTGATTTTTGTTATTGGAGTCTTGTCTTTTTTTATTTAAGTCTAGCTAATGGCTAGTCAATTTTGTTGATATTTTCTAAAAGCCATCTTAGTTTTGTTAATTTTTTAAAATCATTTTTATTCTCTTTTTATTTATTTCTGTTCAAATCTTTATTATATCCTTCCTTCTACTAGCTTCGGGATTAGTTTGTTCTTTTTCTGGTTCCTTGAGTGTAAAGTTATTTTGTTGATATGAGAGCCTTCTTTTTTAATGTGTCTACCACTATAAACTTTCCTCTGAGTACTGCTTTTGCTGCATTCCGTAAGTTTTAATATGTTGTGTATTCGTTTTCATTTGCCTTCAGATGTTTTCTAATTTCTCTGGTGATTTTTTTGACACAGTGGTTGTTCAAGAGTGTGTTGATTAATCACCACATATTTATGAATTTTCCAGTTTCCCTTTTGATGTTGATTTCTAGTTTTATTTCAGTGTGGTCAGAAAAAATACATAAAGTGATTTCAATCTACTTAAATTTGTTAAGACCGCTTTTGATGGCCTAACATGATTTATACTGGAAAACGTTCTATATGTGCTTGAGAAAAATGTGTGTTATGCTGTTGTTGAGTGGAGTGTTCTGTATATCTGTTAGATCCAATTGGACTATAATGTTATTGAAGTCCTTTGTTTCCTTATGATCTTCTGTCTAGTTGATCTATCCCTTATGAAAAGTGAAATATTTAAATATCCTACTGTTAACTGCGTTACTATTTCTTCCTTCAATTCTGCTAGTGTTTGCTTTATATATTTGGGTGCTCTACTGTTAGATGCATATATATTTAGACTTGTTTTGAGTTCCTGGAGAACTGATCCTTTTATCATTATATAATGTCCTTCTTTGTCTCTTGTGAGTTTTTGACTTAAAGTTTATTTTGTCTAAGTAGGGCTAACCTCCTTTTTCCTTTGGTTGCTATTTGCATGGAGTATCTTTTTCCATCCTTTCACTTTCAGCCTAAGTCTTCATATCTACAGTGAGTGCCTTATAAACAGCATTTATTGTTTGAAGTTTTTATAATTAAATCAGCTACTCTCTGTTCTTTGATTAAGGAGTTTAAAGTAAACATTCACATTTGAAGTAACTTCTGATAGAGAAGCTCTCACCGTTCCCATGGAACTTACTATTTCTATATTTTCCAGTTATTTTGTCTCTCCTTTTCTCTCTTGCTGTCTCCCTTTATGTTTCATTGATTTTTTTTTTTTTTTTGACAGAGTACAGTGGCACAAACTTGGCTCACTGCAGCCTCTGCCTCCCAGGTTCCAGCAATTCTCGTGCCTCAGCCTCCCGAGTAGCTGGGAGTACAGGCATGCGCCACCACCCAGCTAATTTTTGTATTTTTAGTAGAGACGGGGTTTCACCATATTGGTCAGGCTGGTCTTGAACTCCTAACCTCAAGCGATCTACCTGCCTTGGCCTACCAAAGTGCTGGGATTACAGGAGTGATCTACTGCGTCCAGCCTGTTTCATTGATTTTTTTAGTGATGTGTTTTTATTCTGTTCTCATTTTTTTTGTGCAGCTTCTGTAGGTATTTTCTTTGTGGTTACTATGAGGATTACATAAAACATAGTTATAATGATCTCTTTTAAACTGATAACTTAAATCACATATAAATATTTCATTCCTTTACATCTCTTCCCTCTATGTTACCAGTGTCACAAATTACGTATCTTTTTATATTTTATATTCATTAACATAGTTTTATAGTTAGCTATTTTCAGTGCTTTTATCTTTTAAATTGGAATTTAAAAGATAATCCAATTTAAAAGATAAATATCCAATTTTAAATTGGAATCACTTTGGAATTAAGTGATTTATGCACTTCATAACAGATTATAGGATTCTGTATTTATCTATATATTTTCCTTCACTAGAGAGCTTTACATTTTCATATGTTTTTGTGTTGCTGTCTAGCATCCTTTTGTTTCAACTTGAAAGATTCCTTTTAGCATTTCTTGTAAAGAAGGTCTAGTGATGATAAATGATGAATTCCCTCAGCTTTTGTTTATCCAAGAAGGTCTTTATTTCTCCTTCATCTTTAAATGATAATTTTGCCAGATACAGTATTATTGGCAGTTTTTTTTCTTTCAGCACTTTTAGTATATCTTCCAACTCTTTCTGACCTGTAACATTTCTGATAGAAATCCACTGATAACTTATGGGAGCTCCCTTGTATGTGTCAAGTTGCTTTTCTCTTGCTGCTTTGCAGATTCTGTCTTTGACATTCGACAGTTTATAATGTGTCACAGTGTGCACCTCTTCTGATTCATCATATCTACAGTCTGTTGAGTTTTTTGAATTTGAATGTCCATTTTCTTCCTCAGATTTTGGAAGTTTTTGACCATTATTTCTTCAAATAAGCTCTCTGTCCTATTCTCTCTTCTCCTTCTAGAACTCCCATAATGTATATATTGGTCAGCCAGATGGTACACCATAAGTCCTTCAGGCTTTCTTTACTTTTCTTCATTCTTGTGTTGCTGTTGTTACTCTGACTCAATAATTTCAAATGACTTGTCTTTGAGTTAGCTGATTCTTTCCTGTTTGATCAAGTCTCTTGTTGGTCTTCCACAGTGAATTTTCCTAACCAGTTGTTTTCTTCAGCTCCAGAATTTCTAGTTTGTTCTTTTTTATAGTTTCTATATCTTTGTTCATATCCTCATTCTGTTCATGCTTTGTTTGCCTGATTTCATTTAGCTGTCTATCTGTATTCTCTTGTAACACATTGAGCTTCTTTAAGATTATCATAAATTCTTTTTCAGGTAACTAATAGATCTCTGTTTCTTCGGAGTCAGTTAATGGAGATTTATTTTGTTTCTTTGACTGATTTCCCTGTTTCTTTGTGTGCCTTGTTATTTTTTGTTGTGATTTTTGCATTTGAAAAACAGCCACCTCTCCCAATCTTTACATACTGGCTTTCTATAGGGGAAGACCTTCACCAAACAGCACAGCCAGAGAATCTGACAGCCTCTCAATCCTTTTATGGGGAGATGTATCTTCTCTCACTCTCTGCATGTAAATTCCCAATTAGAGAAGTTTGTCAGTTTCTTTTTCGGTTTATAGTTTCTTCCTCCCTCTTGCGCCTGTCTGTGGTACTGGCAGGGTTCTTGGTGCTGCAAAAAGCTACTAAGTTCTCTTTTGTTCACTGTAGACCCCAGGTATCCAAGGTATGCTGGTTCAGCTAGCACTCTGAGTCAGGCAAGACTGAAATCAACATTCTGGGCAGCCCAACTCCCACCCAACCCCTTACTTTTTCACCCCCTAAAAAGCTAGTATATTGCATGTACATTTCACTTTTCTGTTTTCCTCTCAAGGCAGAAGCCATGAGTTGGGCTTTTCCTCCCTATTATGAGCTATGCTGGCTTAAGAGAGGGGCTGACATCATTCAAATGGAACTACTTGTCTTATCTCTTTCAATAGAACTATTCATGGCTTTGATCCTGCCTAGGGTGCTGTGAATTCACAACTGGCTTCTGGAGCTATCCTAAATGTTTTTGGGTCATATATTGTTAAGTCAGTGTCTTTGTGGGAAAACAAGGTCTAGGGCTTCCTATTCTTGCTGACATTACTGTAAGCCATTAAGTTTTGAAGTGGTGTGTTATGCAAATCCAAACTGGAACAACTTAAAGGACTGCAAAGACATTAACATAGGTATCCATGGCATTGATCAAGAATGGCTGTAAGTACTACAATACTACAATAAGATTGATACTGTGGCCTTCTGGCAGAGAAGAAAAGCTCTCCCTATGAAGTAGCTTTGAATAAATAAGTAAATAAAATCAAACTTGAATTGGCTCAAGCCTCTAGATTTAACGATCAATGTATAGGAAATACAGAAGGTAGCAGTTCATGTTAAATGACAATATGGGGATGCAATCAGCAAAACTCAGACTCTACAGGAAAACCTACAGAACAATAGTTTCTTTAACAAAGTGCAAGGAGAAAAAGCAAAAGGAGATAAAGAAGAAATCTTTAGATTAAGAGAATTAAGAAGCATTTTTTTTTCTAAATAGCTGAGACCTGAATTATATTTCTATTCATTCATATAATGTTCCTCTTGCACACAGATACTCCCTAAGCAATGAACGCAAGGACTTCAGCACATTTTTGTATAATTTTAAACTGTCAGATTACACATGACCCAAAAAATAAAACCTTTGACCCAGCAACAATTCATATAGATATATGAATACATATTCACTACAGTTTTGTTTGGAACATCAAAAATAAAAGCAAAAAAAGGAATTTAGATCTATTATTATAAGGCCAATTAAATAATCATAAATCCAAACAACAGAGTAGGTCATTAAAAACTATAATAATGTTCATTGACATGAAAAAAAATTTCCAAGTTTCATTATTGAGTGAAAAAATGCAGGTTATCCAATCATATGCACATTATAAACTCATTTATTTAAAATCATGTGTAAGTGTCTATGTATACATAGAGTTATCTGAAAGGATGATTACCAAAATGTTAACTGAGAATTAATACATGTAAGTGATAACATAAATTATTTTGAGTAATGAGAATATGTTTTATTTTTACTTTATTACCCTTTTCTTTATTATTTGAATTTTCTACATGAGTTGTCCTGTGTATTATATTTAGAAAAATTATTTTTCATTTTTATATTCTAAAAACAAACCATGTACAGGAGAAAGCCCCATTCATTCAATCATTTAATATCAGTTTGATACTTACAGAATAATGTTATTGTCTTCTCCAAAGATATAAGGAGAAAGGAAACATAATTGGAAGTAGAAATATGTAAGCATTTGCTACTTGACATCACACAAAACATTCTGTGAGTCAAGGGTAGCAGGTATTATACAAGAACACAGTATGAGCTCGATGTGATGTGATCCACTGAGAAATCCCATATACCTAGGGTAGATAGGCTATAGAAATGATGTAGGTCAAGGAATTCTGGCCCTACCCTTACCCCATCCATAGGAATTGATCGTATTATCATTCTAACTAGCACTGGAATGTACATATAAGGCATATACTAATTTAGGGCACCAGAAAAACATATGTAGCAAAATAAATTTTGAAAAGAATTTGTATGAAATATTATTCAATTTAAACATATAATAGTAGTCATTTACACTCACTTATTCAAGAAATACTTATTGGCCACCCTCTATAACCCAGGTTCAGTGCTAAGTGCAGAGTTAGAGGTGAACAAGACAGATGCATTCCCTGTCCTCTCAAACCTTGCATTCTAAAGTAGCAATACATTTTCAGCTAAACAAATTTCTTCAGGTTGCCATAGAGTAACAGTGATTAAGAACACTTACTCTGGAGCCAAACTGCCTAGGTTTTAATCCCACCTCACCCACTTACTAGCTATATAACTTTGAGCAAGTTATTTAACATTTATTGTCTCAATTTCCTCATCTGGGAATAATAGTACCTTCTTTAGAGGTTTTTTTTAATGAGATATTTAATGAGTAAACTGCTTAGAAGAGAGCCAGCACATATTAAACACTCAGAAAGTCGTGCATATAGACTTTTATTAGGGTTTTCACAGAGATGTCAGTCTGGATTACAACGAGGTATACACAAAAGCCCTTAATTTTTCTTCAACACAAATTTATTTATTATTTTCCTTACATTTACAAATTTTTTAGACCGTCTGGAAACCTGTGATTGAAAACAGCATATTTAATGTTTGAGTCTATTTGGCAAAAACTTGGTCAGAGTAGAATCTCTCAGATGGAGAAGGCTCTACTTAAGAATCTGTCACTCAGGGCAGGCATGGTGGCTCATGCCTATAATCCCAGCACTTTGGGAGGCTGAGGCGGGTGGATCACTTTGAGGCCAGGAGTTCGAGACCAGCCTGGCCAACATGGCAAAAAGCCATCTTTACCAAAAGTACAAAAATTAGCTGGGTGTGGTGGTATGCGCCTGTGATCTCAGCTACTCGGGAGGCTGAGGCTGGAGAATCGTGTGAACCTGGGAAGTGGAGGTTGCAGTAAGTGGAGATCATGCCACTGCACACTCCAGCCTGGGTGACAGAGCAAGACTCTGTCTCAAAAAAAAAAAAAAAAAAAAAAGAATCTATCACTCACTGAAACTGTATTATGTCTTTGTTTACTAGTTTATTACCTCCCCTGTAAAGAAAAAAAAGTAAGCTCCAAGAGGACAACCACATCACCAGTGTCCAATGCAGTGCCTGAAATAAATGGGTGCTCAACAAATGTTTTTAAATGAACAGAAAGTCCTCACAACACAAAAATATGAATTCAACAGAATTTGAACTGTTTTTGATAAGTTTGCAAAGCCAATATCCTCAAGTAAAAGTATAGAACTTTATAAATTATATATGAAAATAATCAATCACTAAAAAGACTCACAATTTTTTAAGACTTTGTTACTTTTCATATCCCCAAGACACTTACTACCCAACCCATGTAACTGTGCCTACAGTTTAATTCCAAAGAAATAACACAGAGAATCTTTCAAATATACTCTTTTATTTTGAAACAAGTTATTTACATTTTTATGAAAATTATTTGCTATGATTCAAGACTAACAACAAAATGAAGGTAGCCATGGCTTTTTTTCCCTCTTCTGTTAACTATAAGGTGGGAAAATGAGAAGCTTTGATTATGCAAATTAAAGCAGAATCTATTATCTCCTTTCTGATCTATGTCCTGAACATGGAGGGTTTTTAAGCAATGTTAGTTTCGCATATTAGGAATCACAGTCAGTTAACTATTGCTGCTAACTGATGGGCTGTATTTGCCAACTCTATCAGTTTGACTCAGCTTCCAGAGCTTAATGGTCCTCCAGGCTAAAAGAGAAAGCTGATCCATCAGGCTTGCATTAGCATAGAATCACACTCCAAGCTTATTGATGTGTGCTCAGCATAACTACCATCCCCAGCACCCAGCTCAGTCCATTATTTTCATTTTATCTCAAGTCATTTGTATGGCTGTCTGCCCCAGTTAAAGCTCCAGCAAGACTTAAATGAATTTTTGAGAAAGGAGACAAATGCCCCCTGAACTTTTGGCACTTTGCTATCAAGGCTTGCTAACATAAAATATACTAGTACTATTCTTAGGGCCACTTAAGTGAGCATATCGAGAATAGCCTATTGCGGGGGATATGGGGGAGTCACTTACTACTCTATTAGCCATCAAGGAGTGTGATGATTAAATGATTTTTTAACTGTAATTTTAAAGCACTGTTCTGATTTCTGCTGAAAGCTATTTATAAAAATAAATTTCATAACAGTTACATCTTTGCTGCTTAAATACCTTTCTCTTTTAAAATACAGAACACACACTAAAATAAATGTTCTAAATAATAATACATTTCATCACCTAGGGAAATGTTACATTTAATGGTAACAAGAAAAACAACAATCTATAACAACCAGGCATTTAATGTGCACAAAACCCCATAATAAGAAGGGATTTAATGTGTGTATAAACCCTGTAATGGGTTTGTGTATAATCAGGCATTTGAGGTATACATAAAATGACTTTAATTGTAAATCTTTAAAATGAAAATAAAGTGCTTGTGTAGCTGTTTTGAATATACAATAACTATTGAAATTCTAAAGCTGGTCTTCAAAACTATGTTCTATGAATTTACATAGTGCTTACAACTATAATTCTGAGAGAATCTGAAAAGGGTACTATTCCTAAATCTTTTTTTTTTTTCCCACTTAGAAATGTCTACAGAGGTAGAGCAGCTGGCCCAGATCCCACAATAAGTTAGTGTACCTAAAACTCAAAAAGTTGGTGGTGCATGTTGAATTTGTTTATCTGTCACTTAAAACTTCAGAATGTGATATTTTTGCCTACTTGTCTTATTTTTATACTTGAGAAGTTAAAACCCAATCTGAGAGTCCTTCTATCCCAAGTAGCTTTCCTCTTTATGTACACAGTTACGTATGGCCTTTAGAAACCTCGTATTACTGCAACTAGAAGAGGAAGAAGAAAAAAAACACTTTTAAACAATTTAATGTATCAAGTATTGCTATAGGAGTATTCACTTGTAATCGCCTTTTATCGATTTCTCTCATCTCCCTAGAGAGAATGGAAAGTTAACATTTGTAAACTGTTAAAACACTACAGAAAAGCTGGTTGTTGGATTAAAAATAGATTCTGACACTTGCATCCTTACAAGATGAATAATTATATAAAAACGTCTTTCTAAATGCTGTTTTCAATTCTGAGAAGCACAGTAAGACTGAACAGCACAAACCCCTGAAAGCAGACCTTTTCATCTTAAATGTACTGGCAGAATGGCGAATAAAGAAGCTGACATTTATTGAGCACCTACTTTTTGTCCAGACAGTATTCACTTACATGATCTCATTTAACCGTGTGAAATATACCACAGGTTTGGTTTGATTACTCTCTATTTACAGAGTTTTCACGAGGTGACTCAGTCATTTGCTAAAAGTCAAAGCTGGCAGGGCGCAGTGG
Organism: Homo sapiens; assembly: GCF_000001405.40. NCBI lineage: Eukaryota > Metazoa > Chordata > Mammalia > Primates > Hominidae > Homo > Homo sapiens. Next base: position 44,458,331 of record NC_000002.12, on the reverse strand, counting down.
CTCACACCTGTTATCCCAGCACTCTGGGAGGCCGAGGCGGGCGGATCACTTGAGATCAGGAGTTCGAGACTAGCCTAGCCAACATGGTGAAACCCTGTCTCTACTAAAAATACAAAAATTAGCCGGGCATGATGGCACATGCCTGTAATTCCAGCTATGTGGGAGGCTGAGGTGGGAAGATCGTTTGAACCGGGGAGGCAGAGGTTGCAGTGAGCCGAGAATGCACCACTGCACTCAAGCCTGAGCAACAGAGCGAGACTCTGGCAAAAAAAAAAAAAAAAAAAAAAAAGTCACAAAGCTACAAAGTCCTAATGCTAGATCTGTGTCTCCAAACCCAGATTAATCTGACTCCAAAATGGGGGATGTTCTTTACACTAATGTGCAGGCTGTTCCATGCTTCCAAGAGAATCTGAGGGTTCACTATTCATTTGCAGGGGAATGGCTTATCCATCACCAAGCAGCCATGGAGGAACTAGCTAATTCAACTTTGTAACATCTGGAATTTCTGTTGAGAATTTCCAAAAGAAGAAAACAAATATTGAGGGTTTCTAATCTATCTTTGCTTTCTCTTCTTACTTATTTCTAGTTTCAAAGACTCTTGTACACTAGGCACTTTTAAGAAATATGACTTAAGGGCCGGGCACGGTGGCTCATGCCTGTAATCCTAGCACTTTTGGGAGGCCAAGGCGGGTGGATCACGAGGTCAGGAGTTTGAGACCAGCCTGGCCAACATGGTGAAACCCCATCTCTACTAAAAATACAAAAATTAGCCGGGCGTGGTGACACGCACCTGTAGTCCCAGCTACTCGGGAGGCTGAGGTGGGAGAATCGCTTGAACCCGGGGGGTGGAGGTTGCAGTGAGCCAAGATCATGCCACTGCACTCCAGCCTGGGTGACAGAGCAAGATTCTGTCTCAAAAAAAAAAAAAAAGAGAGAAAGAAAATAAAAAGAAAGAAATATGACTTAAGGTAAGTTGGCAAGTTGGTACTCTCAGAAGGAATTTATGATCATCTTTTGCCTTCCAGAAAGTGATGTTAACCAAAAAACAAAAGAGTCATCTCCATTTTTTAAGTATACAGAAATATATGCAACCATACATGTTTTTATTTGTATGCAGAAAATAACTCTGGAAGAATACAAAAGAAATTAGTCATTGTGGTTATTTCCAGAGAGGGAAACTGGGTTGATGAAGGACAGATGGAAAGGAGACTTTTCACAGTTTATACTCTTGAGGCCATTTTGAACTTTGAATCATATGAGCATAGTACATATTCAAAATATATATACTTACATACAAATATAAATAAATCATATTCAACTATCTTTATGATGAATGCTAATCAGTGTCACTGCAGCTACACCTAATGCAATAACTGGCTTATGAATACTGTACTTCACTAAGTATTTTAAATAGAATTTATTGTAATGATATAGCCGAGAAGCTTGCTTGAATGAGTTAAGAGTTAGTATCCCAGACACTAGCTTTGTAGAAAACATAATTGGGCTGGAGAAGGAGAAATCGTAAAATAGGAAAATAGGATAGCTGATTAATGATCTCCCAGAAAAGAAGGAAAAGAAAAACATTTAGCATGAGGATTTCTGCTATGATTGTAATGAAGATCATGAAGACAAGCAGAGGTAGGATGCCTTGGCCAAAACATCTTTTCTTATAAGTCCCATCTCCCCAGGCATATTTACCATTTAAACAAAAAAGGAAGAGTTACTACTGATGGTGATATCTTCATTTTCCCCTGGTTGCTTCCCCTAAAAGAGAAAGGATGACATGTATAGAAAAGGTAAACTTGGCTGTAGTTAAAGCTTTTCATTCCAAGGTCTTTTTGTTTCTTCTTTCACAAGAATGTACATATTTATATAATAATTCTGAGAAATAGAGGGTAAGAGGGCTAAAAGACCTAAATATTCTTCTACAACAAATAAAGACAGTTAAATGTCACCTGATAACCTATTCTTTACAATATATAGATTCTGTTATTTCTCTTAGGAAAGAACTAGGATGTTTACCAACCCTATAGTCAGATTACTTCTATTTATAACCTGTAACTCTTTTGTTGTAATTCAAGTCCTTCATCACTAGTGAAAATGAACACTTGTTTTCATACTCACGCACATAAATAAATCCTTTCACTTAAGTTACACATATTAAGTATCTAATATGTACTAGCAATATATTTGGATTCATGTTGACCTGACTTTTACTGAACAAATATTTGAATTACACAAGGCACCATTTAGGTTACAAGACTGGTAGCATACAGCATGTTCCCTATCCTCAAAGAGTTTATTAGTAGGGTAGAAGCTATGATTTCAATATTTTATAAATCCCATCCCATGCTACTTAATATTTATGAATGATAAATATTAACCAAATGGAATTGAATTCTCATTTAGACTTTCCTTTTTCAAAGTTAGGATTCCTGATAACTTTAACCTTTAATTAAGGACCAACGTTTTTGACACACAGCATTCCAACTACAATGAATTCTAAAACAACAACAATAGATTACACAAATTAAGCTCTTTTTGCATTAAAAAAAATAGCTTTTTAAGAATTTTAAATGTTTAACCCATGTGATCCTTATACTAACCCTGGGAGTTGTGATTTTTGTTGCAAATAAAGAAACAATGGCACAAAGTGGTTAAATAACTTGGTCAAAGTTACACAGCTAGTGATAGGGCTTAAGCCCAGGCAGTCAAGCTCCAGACAGAATGTGTCTTAACCAGCAAACAATTTTGACTCTCAAGACACTAGTTTAAGAATTTTTCAATGGGTATGCTTCATTAGACCATATCCCATTAAATTCTTACAGCTGCAATGAATGACAATTGGGTTGGAAACCTTCTCAATATCTTTCAAACCACTGCCATATCCCATTTTCCTGAAGCCCTTACAGTGTATCATGGCAACGCAATTTCTTCTCTTCTTCCTGCACTGCTCAGACCTCAAAGTTCAAAGGGCAAGCAGAAAGAAAAATGTAGTCACATAACACAGAAAGCATCCACTGGAATCGCTGGTGACTTCTTTCATCCTGCCCATCTTCAGAGATAAGCCTCCTTCTAAAAAAAATCTATCTCTAGGCTTCGTCCTGGAATCCCCAGTCCTACTTTCACGTTTCACAGTTTCCTCCTCACAAATAACCAAATGCGACTAATTATTTTGTTAACCCAGTATGTGGGTACCATGAATTTCTTCTCAAGTTATTCTGAGATCAAGAAAGTTAAAATACCTTTCAAGTGCTTATCTTAGCATCTCATGATGCCATAGAGAAGCAGGGCTAATGTGATGATGCCCTTCTGCCTCATACAACGTCCTCTATCCATGGGTAAATTAAGATTTCAAGAGGGTCACTTCACAACAAAATCAAGAGTTCAAAGACCAGGCTACAAACTGATGGTACTGTTGCTAGAAGTAAGCTGGATTCTGTTAGATAAATAATATCCTCTCTAGGTTTAAATAAAATGTTTATAGATGTGTACCAATTCTTTCATGTCAAGAAATTCTTTTGATTCACTGATACAATACAATTCTAAAGAGTACAGTAGTGACCTAACATGAAAGCCTCTCCAAAAATGCTTGACTTCTACACAGATTCATTGCTATATTAGGTTTGGGGCCATTATGCCGTCCAAGAGATAAGTAAAATAGAGAAACAGATCAGAAATGGAAAAAAAATCTACTGACTATTAAAAATGATTTGTTTTATTATCCTACTTCAAGGCATAGTTACTAAGCAAAGCTAACTTTTAAGTTCCCAGTGCCTTGGGAACCCAGAGGAGGTGCCCTGGAAGCATGAAGGGGTAATGAAGACCCATGAACAAAGCTTTCTGGCAATGCATTTAGAGGGGGATTTCTGACAATTTTAAAATTTTCACCACTGCTATATATTTAGTTTATTTTACTGGTAGGGTCAGAAACATTATTGGATATTGGGTAAAGTACTCAGTTTACTTACTTTGTTCACCCAGATTTCGTTGAGTAATGTATTTTTCAAGCCACATTTAACACAATGCACAACGTTGAACCTGAAGTCTCTATTTTAAAAGCTCTGGCAATTAGCTCAACTTAGAAAAAATAGCAATTAGAATTCTCAAACAATTTCTGCTGTAAACAGAAGAGAATGAAATAACTCACTCTGACTTACCCTATTATTTTTCATAGTATGAGTTAAAAATATATGTTTTATTTAAGAATTGCAGACGAAGCTTCTCCAACTTATTTTTTAAGAGTTGTCAAAATCAGATGTTACCGTCTCCTTATTCTTAGTAAAAGAATTTCTCTAAAATATAGTCAGGCAGACATTTTCCTTCTCTCTCTCAATGGTATTTTGTCTAATTCTTACTTCCATTAAGACAACACTGCCTCAAGCTTTATATCCATTTCCAAAGACTATCTTATTTCTTAAAACTACTTGTTTTAAACTCTGAAAGACTAAAAAGCAGCATAGAAAAACACCTCTTAATCTTATAGTCGTTTTATTAGACTATTTCACCCATGGCAGGAAAGAAAAATGAGAAATTTCATTTTAAACCTAGGTTCTAGAAATGATGTTTCAGTAATTCATTAAAGTATTCATTAAAAGCTGATTACATATTCTTAACAGTAACATCTGCCCCTCTCCACAAAATGGACAATAAAATTATCTTTTAATAAAAATGTTTGCGCTATAAACTACATGATACAAATTTGCTTAAACCAAACTGAATCCATTCTCTATACTAAAGATGACAAAAATTATCCCACTAGCTGAATTTCATTGCCAAGCTGTCAACTTGAATTTCTTCTGTTTAAAAATAGCTGTTCATTACATTCAGTAATGGGCTGTCAAAGCACTACAGCACTGAACCTGTATCATACACAGAAGCAATTGGGCAATGTGCATTATTATGTTTAGATTACTTGCATTCTTTACAAGACCCCTGGGCTAATTTTAAATGAGATGGTTCACTTGAACTAAATCAAAACCTATTTTATTTTACCTTAGAGCTAATAGATATTTTCCATTTATGACTCACTAGTACAAACATTAATAGCAGGTAAAACAAAAACCTTATTGAACATATATGTGAGTATAAGTAAATATGCACATATGTATGTTTATGGATTTGTATGTGGTTTTGCTCCCTACAGCCACATCTACTTTTAATAATAGATGATTGAATTACAACACAAGGCACACCAAATTAGACAATAGTGCCAATATGTGAGCAAGCATTGTCGTCTCCATGAATACATGATAAGTTGTTAACTGGAAGCATCACTCCTGCAGCATATAGTCTTTGATATTTTAGCATAGTAAATCAATTAGACATCTTTTAAACTAGCAAATGTATAATAATTCACCATATAATTTAGCATGGGATATTGTGAACAACTATAAAAAGACACATAAAACCTGCAGCCGAACCATTCTTCCCCAGCATGATATCACAACCCCAAAGGCATCCAATAATGGCTGCAGGATATCAAAGGGATGGTAACTAAACTGATCACAGATGACTTGTAAATATACCTAATGAATGCAAGAACTAGGTTAATCATTTGTAAAATTTTTTCACTAGTCTTTATTTTCATTAATAAAGAGAGGCTACTTGCACACTCATGTAAATACAGATTATAATACAAAGGTTAAAGATAAATTTTACTTAAAAATTATCTCTAGGTTTCCAACTTTGGAATATCAAAGGTAAAATGACTTATAAACTCTTATTTCAGCAAAATTAAACTCTGTAAGCCAAGTGTGCCATGAAAGATTTCAGGGAAGAAACAATAGTAATATTTTTTTGTGTGTTTAATATCTATTTCTTTAAAAAGGAGGTAGGTGGGGAGCCCACATATATTTAAACATTATTTCTATGATTCAATAATGTATCAGGCACACATGTGGCAAACAGTTGAATGAAGACAGTAAGAAAAGCACCCCCAAAATGCAATGGTTGCATTTATTTAAGGAAAAAATTCTCTCTCAAGTATGAGATAACTGGCGCTATGCCTAGTTAGAAGCTTAATAAGCATTATTTATTGATACTTTTCCCATTCCAAAGTCCACTGGAAAGCATATTCATTCTATGTTAAAGAATACACACCCACATTTTATTCCTAAAACTCTCTAAACACTTCATTTCATCATGGCTCCTTTAACAAAATGGAAAATTATTCTGGCTAAGAAACTACTTTTGATGTAATTACCCTAATTCAGTTTAAATAATGCCTAAGTTAGCTTTTTAAACCACCAGCTAAAATATGAATGGTATATAGTATACATATTTAACAATTAAAAGCCAGTTTTATATTTTCTAACTCACTAAATGTGTGATATTATCAATATATATTATATGGTATTTGCATTGTTATGCTTAGATAAGTAAAAGAAACTTAAAATATCTAGGTTTTTTTTCAAAAATGGAATAAGGTTTTTGGCTATTGGCTATTACAATCAAAATAGAAAGCTTTTTTTCTCTAAAATTGTCTCATGAAAATTTCAAACATACAGCAAATGTGAAAGAGAAGCAAATTTTACAGAGAAGACCATATACCTACCACCTAGATTCTATCCTTAACATTTTACCGTGTTTGTTTTATCACATATCTAGCCACGTAAAATAGAAAGTTTTGTTAAAAAGGTAAACATATTTCACAAGAATAAATGAAATAAAGAATAGCAAAAAGAGGATAACTCTTTACTGAATAAAGAACTGCTAAGGATAGTAGTTACTGCTTTTGATTACAGCCAGATTCTCATAAATGATCATCTGCATTTTTTAAAACCATATCACTTTCTGTTAATAGAGACAACTGAATCTAAATTAATTCTATAGTAGATTCTAACTATTATATCTTAATTTGAAAGGCAAGGTTAGGACAGTAAAGGTAGAAGAACACCAGCCTCTTGGAAAGAACAGATCCTCCAAAAAAACAAAAACCTTTTTAGTTTGTTTTTGAGTTATAAAAAAAGGATTAGGGTAACGATTTTTCTAATCATTAATGTATCAGAAATGAAAACTATTCAACACTTTGTCTACTGTAATACATGTACATGAGAAACAACTATTCTACTTCAAACCTCTAATACAACAAAAGAATACCACCCATGGTATTTTCTTTAGGAACTAAATGTGTTTCTTTTGCTATGATAAAATTATTTTTTAATTAAGACACAAGATTCTGGCAGATTTAGGAAGTTTACATCCTTTGTGCTTTTCACTTATTTTATTTACATGGGAAATTAGATTTAAAATTTGAGTTGCAAACAAGAAAACTAGTTTAGCCTCTAACTTTCATTTTCTCAGATGAACACTTCCAAAGAATGTCCAGTACTGCTTCCTCAAATCCTTTGATTGGGCACTTCCTGCAAAACTTCAACAAGTCAGAGAGCACAGAGAGTTGGAAAACAATAGGCAAAGCACATTTTTAATGCTCAAATAATCTTTGATAAATTAAAGATTTAAGTGGGAGAAAATTTCTAAATCTCAAAGCCCACTATTAAATCAATTTTTAAATAGCATTACTAGAGCTATGACATTGTGATTTTTGTTTTATTGAAATATTTTTCACACCCAAAATTACTCTGGACTCCACAGAGAAATAGTGAATTGTACTTTTTTATTCCTCTTTTTTCAAATACGAAAGAAATGCTAATTAAAGTGAATAAGCATTTCAAAATTTATTAACCAAAACTGAAATTAGCTTTAATTTGAATATTTGGTTTTGAAACTGTATATGAAAATATATGGGTGAAAGTGTAACTAAAAATATATTAGTGTATACAAGATTCTCTTAATCACCATAAACTATGTTTAAGCAAGTTCAGAATGCTTCATAACCCCTTTTAAGGTTTGTATTTGTTGATGAACCAACAATGTTTGGCATAATTAACGCTAAGATCTTCAAAACTCAATGACTGAAAATAATTGCTTCTCTCTTTTCTTTCCTGAGTACTCTGAAGCTGAACCTAAAGATTTAGAGCTGACTGGACAAATATAAAGGATGTCAAAAACAGTGACCACTGACATGCCATTCAAGGCACATGGAAGACAGCTCAGGCTTGAATGCCTCTAAACTGCTCATTGGTAAGATCAGCTATCAGTGAGACGCAGTGTAAGTCAGCATTATTCACTGAGCCTGCTATGACCTTAAAATCATTGCTCCTGGGGTATGTTCACCCACCAATTAGTTTATATGCTCACTGGAAATCCACTGCTCAGTAAAAGCATCGGTCCCTCATTCCACAGTGTTGATGAAGTGTGTGTGATGGCTTTCTCTTCACAACTTCACCCCTAAAGCTGACCCATCTCAAGTTGAAGCATTCAAGTCACTTGAGCATCTCTGGATTATCATGGATTTCGCTACTTAACTTAAAAATTACTATACTTTAACTTATTTGATAAACACAAATGTTATAGTGATCATAAAAGGACATATGTAAAACAATGTAAAAATTAGAACTGAATTTACCAGTCCTCCAAAGGAAAAAAATTTCTAGTACTAACCCCCTCCCCAAAGATTTACTAAGGAACGTAAAATATCAGAATCCCTTTTACTTGTGAAAGTGTTATTTCATGTCAGATACTTGTTAATAGTGTTGAAAGAAGAAATTTCCTTGCTGTTTTTAAGCAAGTATTAATTAGCATACATCTGCCAATGCTATTGTTTCTAAAACATTGAAGAAAGAAATTATTTTCTCCTTTTGGGCAGAGTAAAGTCTAAAGAATAAAAAGAAGCATATGTGAAAAATAATTTCAAGATAATATGATATGACATGATAAAAGGTTAATCTAGAAATGAGAAAAAAGAAAGAGATCACCAAGATTTATGGAGATATAAACTACTGAGATATAAAAAACCGAAAGGACAGCAGAAATTGGATAATTGGGAAGAAAATTAGTGGTGGGTTATACAAGTAAAAATATCCTGAAGATAACTAAACAGTTAAACAAATTATCAGGGCTGAGGGTATATCAGCACAGAGATAGTCAGTTGAAATAACATGCATGGGTTTATTTTCAAACAACTTGAGGATAGAGTTTGGGAATAAAACTGTCCCAATTTTTTCCCTTCAGGTTCTCACAAGGGGAGAAAATCTTCCCCCTACATGAAGGGGTCAACATTTAACTCATTTCTAGCCTGCTTCTTGGAAAACGATCTGATTGAAGTTTTGTTTTGTCTTTAACAGGTTTATTAAGACATAATTTACATGCCACAAAGTTCACCCAGTTAAATGGTACAACTTAATAGTTTTTTGTGTATTTACACAGGTGTGCAAACATTGTCGCAATCAATTTTTCAACATTTTCATCACCCCCAAAAGAAACCCCATTCCGTCCATACTCCCTAGTTTCCTGCACGAGGCAACTACTAATCTACTGTCTCTACAGATTTGCCTGTCCTAGACCGTTCATATAAATGCTATCTTAAAATAGTCTTTTGTGACTGGATTCTTATACTTAGCACAATGTTTCTGAGGTTCATCCAGGTTGTATCATTAATTCATTCATTTTTATTGCTGAAAAATATTCCATTGAATAAATATACTACATTTTGTTTATCCACTCACTGATTTACAGAGATACAAAATAATGCCTCAGAATAACAGTTTATAACATACGCATATACATAATCATTAGTGAAAAATATGTTTACAGAGGTGAATTACATGTCACATTACTTACACGTGTGTTCTTAGTTGGGTGGACTTTTTTTACAGAATTAGTAAGGTTAACTTACAAGATAGAATACACAATTACTAAACTCTCATAATACCAAGGCTTAATAGCTGTGAAGACTTAGCAAAAACAATAAGAAAGCAATACTTAAATAGTTAAATATATGTATGTCCAAAGACCCAGCAATCTTATACCTGGGTGTACAGCCCAAAGAAATTCTCACGCAGCACCATTTATTGTAGTACAGAATTGAAGACCCTCTAGGGAAGTGGACAGGTAAAGTGTAGTGGATATTTATCATGCAATACTATAGATAGCTGACCCTTGAACAACACAGGTTTGAAATGTGCAGATACACTTATATGTGGATTTTTTTTCAACTAAAGGCAGATGGAAAATACAACATTCCCCAGATGCAAACCCGTGCGTAAGGAGCAGTGGGTGGTGGGGTGCTTTTCATATATGCAGTTTCTGCAGGGTCAACTTTCAGATGTGACTGTGTGTGGATTTTGGTATAGAACTGGTTAGTTCCCCACATGTACCAAGGGACAACTATATTCACCAGATGCAACAAACTGGATGAATGTGCAGCAACGTGAATAAATCTTGTAATAAATGTTAAGTGAAAAAAAATTAAGAAACAGAATACAATCTCTAGCATTATACCACTTATAAATTTAAAATACATATCCCAAACAATAGAATGCATTTTATAAGAATACATTAAAACAGACAGACAAATGAATTAAAAAACAAAGTGGCCAGACAGGGACCAATGATGATAGTATGCCATAAACTGAAAAATACAAGTTGCTCAATGCTCTGTATGTAAGGTCACAGATTTTTTGGGCGGAGTATTATTTTTCAAAAATATTTGCTGCCCCTACCTACAGAAGGATTATACTTTTATGCCCTACTGACAACAGGCTTCACCATGTAAATTGCTCTGGCCAATAAGATGTGAAAACATTACTGTTTGAGAAGTAGTACATGGGTTACTGTGCCCTTTTTCTATCCACTACAAGTGTTCAAGAAGTTGCTTACTGATCCCAGGTTGCACATTGCAGACAACATGAAACATAGCCACAATAAACCCAAGATAAACATGCAACATGAAAGAAATGTTAGTGTTGTAAGCCACTGAGGTTGGGGGGGATGGGCTGTTTATTATTGCAACATAACCTATCCCACTATGACTGATACATTCACATATATCAACATGGCAATTAAATCTCTTTATCCAAAACTACGGTAGGCACTAATGTTATGAATATTTGGAGGAGGGGTATGATACAAAATACAGCTCTTACCTTTAGGGATATTATAACAGAATTACATAAAACGAGGAGAATAAAAGGAAATCAACTATTCTAGTGAAAAGCATACTCGACAATGAGTTATAAAATGTGAGTTTTAATCCTACTCTCTCTATTTACTAGCCAAATGTCCTATGCCAATCTCTTAACCACTAGGAACCTCAGTTTCCTTATCTGAACATTAACAAAGCACAAAGCAATATACAGATGCATCATATCTCCACTAAATAAAACTCCAACTTTAAACAAAGATAAATTAAAATTGATTATTTACTCTTGTCTTAAATGGTCCAATGTACCAAAATTTTGTGCAGATAAGCTTGTCAGGAATACGAGTTACATTAAATAAAGAACACCTGGGTAATCAAGTATAGACTACCTTCATAAATGCTAACGTGGAAAAGGAATAAGGAAAAGCCCAAATGTAAATCATAACATGTGTATGTACAACAACAACAAAGGTAATGACACAGGTATGGCCAAATCTTGTGGGTATGATGAGGAATGACAGAAGATAAACTTCAGATAGAAAGACTGTGATGATGAAAGGCCTCAATGCTGGACTGAGATGCCTGCTTTGACACCACAAACCCTGTGGCAGCACAACAAGGTATACAGTGTGGTGGAAGACTGAGATGGAGGCCTCTAGGTCGGAACTTAAGTTGTTGAAGTGAATGAGAATATAAGGGAAAAGGCTGGGCATAGTGGCGCGGCCTGTAATCCCAGCACTTTGGGAGGCAGAGGTGGGTGGATCACTTGAGGCCAGGAGTTCAAGACCAGCCTGGCCAACATGGCAAAACCCCGTCTCTACTAAAAATACAAAAATTAGCTGGACATGGTGGCACACACCTGTAATCCAAGCTACTCGGTGACTGAGGCATGAGAATTGCTTGAACCCAGGAGGCAGAGGTTGCAGTGAACTGAGATCACAACACTACACTCCAGCCTGGGTGACACAGCGAGACTGTGTTTCAAATAAATAAATAAATAAATAAATAATATAAGGGAAAGACCAAATCTGGGAGGCTCTGAGAGTGAATAATCAACGCAACTGAACCTGACACATAACTGGCATTCAGTAAATATCTGTTGCCAGGCGCAGTGGCTCACACCTGTAATCCCAGCATTTTGGGAGGCCAAGGTGAGCCGATCACCTGAGGTCAAGAATTCGAGACCAGCCTGGCGAACATGCTGAAACTCCATCTCTACTAAAAATACAAAAAATTAGCCGGGTGTGGTAGCACACACCTGTAGTCCCAGAGGTTCTCTAGCGACCCCTTTATACTTGGCTGTCACATTCCCCCCTCTAAAGAAGTATGTCTAACTGACATTAGAATAAGGATAAAGATAAGGATGAAGACAGATCTTAACTGCTTCCTGCTGACAGAGGGTCTTGTTTTGGGGAAAATGGCAGTCAGAAGCCTATCTAAGAGTTCCTGGCAGAAGGGGTCATTGTCCGAGACTTCAAGACTTTGGTTGCATGACCATTTGGAGTTTGATGGTCTGAAAGTAAGAAGAGACAAACTGGGTTATTAGAAAACATGTATTAAAATGAAACAAGAGGAGGGGGCTGAGGACAACTCAAAAATCCTGAGGCCTTTTACCAGTTTGCATGGGGAGAGGAAGACCAAAAGCCCAACTGGTAAAAAAAAAAAAAAAAAAAAAAAAAAAAAAAAAAAAAAAAAAAAAAAACTACCCTTTTGCCGACATGTTGGACTTCCCCTGAGCCCAGTCCTAAGCCAACCAGTTTAAGGTTTGGGAAATTAACTTTTCCCAGTTTGGAGGGTGCATCTTAGGGGAATGTCCCGTAGTATGGAGACACAATTACCTATCTGTGAAGAGAGAACCAAGGAGGAGAAAAGAAAAAAGAGGGCATTTTTCAAGGGAATCCCAGGGGTTCGGGATGCATTTGAAAGGGATACAAACTGAAGATGAATGGCTACTCATCTAGAAAGAGGGGAGCAGGCATCCCTGGTTCCCTTCTCTTCCTAGCAAATACCTGGGGTATGTGAGGGAAAGAAGGAAGTGAGTCCTCTTTCCCTCTTCCATCCTTGCATCCCTGAGTCCTAGAAACCATAACAGGTGCCACTCATGGGTGCCAAAGCAGTTTGTAGCCATGAAGCAGGGAGGGCCTAGAGAATAGGAATTATCTGCTCTCACCTATGTCTCTATCCCTGCTACTGTCAGTAGCCTTGGAGTTCCCGGGACCTCATTTATGCCATGAATATTAGCTTGACCTTTATCCATGAAATGGGAGGCTTGGCTTAATTGGCAGAAACTAGCCATGCTCACCTGCACTGTGCCTTTTAACCTCTATTATCATCTGCCTCTAGATCCCTTAGATCCAGTTTTCTTTCCCAGGGCTTTGACCCAAAGCTTGGAATTGAATTTGGGACAAAAATGTGTCTTGGGGGGTTGCATGGACTCCTTTTCATAAGCCGAATGCCCAGGTGAAACTGTGGAATTGAGTCCTCCTTGGATGTCCTGTGACATGCCCAGATAACTGGTAGCTATAGTTATGCTTGCTAAGATTTGGGTACATGGTGCTTGGTGTTGGTTAGCTCCCATGCTCTTACTTCCCCTAAAAGGAAACCTCTGGGTGATGGGCACCCTATTTATTCCCATCACCTGGCAGGATTTGCAGGATAATTGCTCTGAAAGAACTAGAATATTAATCCAGATTTTTACACACACATGTATGTGTGTATAACTTGAACAGTAGCTTAACATCCACGATAAAATTTTGTAACAGATTACTAATTTGTGGCTTATACACATTTAGAAAATAACACAGGTTCAAAAGTAGACAAAAAGCATGTGTGAAGAACAAGTATGGGAAGTGTCAGAAGGCTCTTTCTTGCCCCTAACCTAACCATGGCCTTGACTTTTTAACATTTTTATCAGAGACTTGAAAACATAAAAGGTATGCCTATCAAAAGCTCATGTGACACATCTGGGAATGATACATATAATAACAGAATCAAAATTTTACATGATCTTGACAGCTTATAATACTGTCATTCACATATCCGACAATTCTAAGAAATTATTTCATGGATTTCATTTCTGTCGCCTCAAAAAATACTAAATTGCTCAAGGCAGGACTGAATTTAATGCTCTTTCAAAATCTCCTATGGTATCCAACACGGTGCTGGGAACATAGTAGGTATTTTATCAATATTTAAAGAATTGAGTTGTATGTATCAAGTACACGTGTAGAAAAGTTTAGAATAAATCACTCACCTACGCAACATATCTTCTTACTTTTCCTTCAGGCCGTAACACTTATCTCCTTCAAAGACCTCTTCCAAATGGAATTTTTCCAGCATACCCTTCTTGTGTTCTGCCTTAGACCCTTAAAAGACTACTATAAATAAAATTGTACAAGACATTTAAAAGCCTTTGCACTTTTTCTTTATTTGTTTCATTATTATGCCCAATTCTGTGCCATTAGACTTTAAGCCCACTAGGCAGCTTCAGTAGTATTTTAAAGCTTTTGCCATACATATGAGGTGAGAACGGATGAACTCCCTTCGCAGAGCTGCACAACATAACATTTTCATGTTACAATTCAGTATCATTGCAGCAAGATAAGCACACCCCATAGTCTAATTTAACAGACATGAAGAAGTCAAGCTCTATTGTTCAATGTCACAGCCAGCCAGCCCTGCATGATCAACCTTTATTCTTCTCTGGCTTCATTATGAGGATGATGCCTTTCAACTGTGGTGACTAAACCTGTTAAACTACAAAGCAAGAAATTTATAGAACCTTTAGAAGAGTAATACTGAGCAGCTTAAATGTAAAACCTACAATTAAATTCCAAAACTAAGCACTTCACCCCCAAGAAAATGCTAAGTAGTTCTTCAGCAACATTCCTGATTTACATACCCCAAAGATGACAGGACTTATATACATACATGCTGCAGTGATATTAATAGTAATTTTTTCAAGTAATATTCAATATAAAAAAATGGTAATATTAACCCATGCATTACAAAACTAATAAATTTCCCCATAGCATACCAGGGACAGGAGCTGTGATTTTTCATTTTCAAAAAGCCTCCTTTGTCAGATGAAAAGCCCTGAGAGTAAAATATTTCAGTACAGTTCAGTGTTAACAATGGGTATGCCATTAGATTACCATACAAGTGAATAAAGCACCAAATGATACGAACATTTTTTCACACTTTAGATTTTGATGTGAAATGAGTCTAATTATTTATTCATAGACTTTTCCTCTAAGGAGTTCAAAGAACTATATTTTAAATCTTCAAACACGTATTTCCTAAGCTCTAAAATCTACCAGGTAGGACAGAAGAACGTGCTGCCGGGAAGAAGATAAAGAAAAGCAGCACAAAAGAAAAGGCTGGTTGGAAGAATTCAAGTACATTTCAAACATGAGGTGGTATATTTTATTCATTCATTTATTCTTGCAGTCACTCATTTATTGAGCACCTATTAAGAAGTCTAGGTCTGTGCTAGATGTTAAGGATATGAAAACAATCCCTGCTCCAGCAGCTCATCAGAAAGAGGGATGACAGACAAATAAAGTGATAATTACAGTAGATGCCTAGTGCTGCAACAGCAGGATGAACTAAGTACTTTGGGAGCACAAGGGATAGAACCACTGGCCTGAAGGAATTTGGAAAGGCTTTAACAAGAAGGTAGCATTTCAATTGTATTTAGAAACATCAGTAGAAGTCGGTCAGAGAATTAAGAGGAGCCCTTGAAGACAGAGCTAACATTATATTGAAATGCAAGGAGTCATCAAAAGGTTTGACCTGAGAATGTGAGGAATACAATATGGCTTAGTAGCAAGAGATAACGTTTAGTGCCTAGAAACCATAGGTTTCAAGTCTGTTCTGTGAAGGACTACAAGGGTGCCATACTCATAGAAACCTTGGCATTAGACTAACAAAGCAAAATGAGCAGATGTAAAATATGTATACGAACATGTATGTATAGAGAGATATATATCATTTTTATGTATATAATTTTGCTTTATATATGTGTGTATATATATACACACAACTCTATGGGAAATGATAACCATTGCTCTTGGGCTTCTGACCTGCTCTCCACTAGAGCCACAGATGGGTTTGCAAGGCAAATGAAAGAACTGAGTCATACATACTTCTCTTTCATTCACCTTATCTAAGCAGTTCTTTTTCTCTCAGACTGGAGTCTTGCTTGGGTAAAAATGAGTATTTGGGCCAGACTCTGCTGCTGCTCTTTATTCCCAAGCTGCTACCAGCACATCTGTTTAGTAGCAAGGGAGCTACCTGCTTCTCAAGGGCCAATTTGAAGACCAGCCTAATAACTTTTCTTTAAAGTGCTATCGGGCAGCCTCTTTTGCTCTCCATCAGCCTTGTATATAGCTGCATACCGCAGGTGCTGAAAGAAAATGAAAAAACAAAAAACAAAGCTTAAGCCTTAGAAGTCTAGATAAAAGAGGATATTTTCCTTGCCATTATATTATTTCAAGTATAAAAGCTACCATGTCAAAATGCACAGAAAACTGTGGTTCCTTATAAATATTAAAAAGGCAAGAATGATTTAAAGCTGTAAGGCTCCAAATCACCTTCTACAGTACAACTAGTTATATAAGGAGAATACATACCTACAGAGTGATATGGCAGAAGACCAAGCACTTTCTAAATTTGAAATTATATCTACAAATATCAATGCACCAATCTGAAAGATATTCGAAGGCACTATATTATTCAGTCTGTGTTGGGTTTAAAAAAAAAAAGAAGTATCAAGAGATAGTTAACCCTACCCTAAGATAGCGCAGTCTTTTTATACAGTTAATCATCTACATCTATTGAGTGCACAAGATGAAATGCTTGGTACTATGCCGTGTGCCATGAGAGAAAGCAGATAGAGTCTTAGTTCTAAAGACTCCTCTATTTGCAAGCTTGATGACACAGGCTAAGGATTAATTCCGAGTCATCACTGTGAACCTGTAACTCACTTGTTATCCTAGATGTTATCACCCAGCAACACTGATTTAGGCAAATTATTAGTTACAATTTAAAGGTCAAAAAACCTTTTAATCCTGAAAACTCATGATGTAGGGAAGGAATAACTATTTTCCAGCAAGTCAAATGAAAAGGCACGAACTTCAAGTACCTCAAACTGAAAAAAAGACTTGGCATATAAACATATATTGAGTCACAGGAAAAGTGTTTTGATATTTAACAGACACCAAATAAGTGAGAAAAAAATTGTTAAGGAAGAGGAACCAAAGGAATATATTAAGGGGAAGAATATGATTTAATAGGTGAATTCCCCCAGGTACTGGCCAGGTAAGCACAAAGTAGGAACTTTCATTTCATGATGTGGAATTCAAATTAGTAGGGGTGGCAAGGCTAATTCCAAACAGGCCATTTTAAGAAAAGAGAAAATGTAAGTTAAGAGGAGGAATGGAGAATTCTGACTACACCAAGTAAAAGAGGGATTCTGTGAAAAATAATACCATGATATTAAAAATGGATAATAAAAAAAATAAGGGATAAAAGGTTCTACAATTACGATCAATACCAATAGCACAGAATTCTAAGAGTATGTGATACTACTGTGGAAAATTAATGTCTTGGAAAGGAAGTAGCACTGTCTTAATACATCTTTCTGATAGAAATACTCTATATCATTCCTGTCCAATATAGTAGCCACATGTGGCTACTGAGCCCTTGAAATGTGCATTGAAATGTGAAATGGGGAGCTGAAATTTTGATTTAATTTATTAAATTAAATTTTATCATAATTCATTAAATTTAGAATTTAAAAAGCCATAGAGTTAGTGGCTACCATATTGGATAGTGCAGCTTAAGACTTAAAGTGTTTGTGTATCTTTTATAGGTGAAAGAGTGGGAAGAGCACATGCTATGAGGTAGGATCTGGTTTTCAAATGCCAGCATTGACATTTACTAGTATTTACTAGCATGGTGCCCTGGGGACAATCTGAATGTTGGGTTCTTCATCCAAAAAATAAAATAATACCGTATTTTCTATTACTGCTATCAAGACCCACTCTTTGTGTGATTTCCCTGAGGTCCCGAGGTTACATCAAGAGCCCAAGTTGGCTTTTAGAACCTCAGGAAACTCAAGGAAATCATGGGCTGCACTAGAATCATGGGACTAGAGGATGCAGCATCCCAAGTCCAGCTCAAATGAGTACATTTTTATAAGACCTGTATAAGTAAACACAAACAACAACAAATAAAACCCTTTCTAATTCAACACTCTTTACCTCTAAGCACTCTCCTTTCTCATTCTGACCTGCGCCATAAGAAGCCATATCCCATGAGATGGAGGCACTGTCAGAAAAGATGAGAGGCTTGAGCCTGCCAATGAGACCTTTGTCTCCAAGTAGAAAATATTTATCTTCAGGGGTTTCATTCAGTAACTCTGTTGTTGGCTCCTGACATTTCTTGACTTATAGCATTCATAAGCCCTGGAAACGTTTTCAGATGGATGTAAGTCCTCCCAGCATATCGGCATTTCTTATTTATTTATTTATTTATTTATTTATTTATTTATTTATTTTATGAGATGGAGTCTTGCTCTCCCGGGTTCATGCCATTCTCCTACCTCAGCCTCCCGAGTAGCTGGGACTACAGGCGCCCGCCACGACGCCCGGCTGATTTTTTGTATTTTTAGTAGAGACGGGGTTTCACCGTGTTAGCCAGGATGGTCTCGATCTCCTGACCTCGTGATCCACCTGCTTCAGCCTCCCAAAGTGCTGGGATTACAGGTGTGAGCCACTGCGCCCGGCCCATATTGGCATTTCTTGAATCCAGTATCAGCAGAAAGAATGTGAGGGGAAGCAACTAGAACTAACTCTACCAAAAAGTTTTTCTATAAAAAGGAATCAAAAGAGGAGGTGGGTGGCAGGGAAGTGGAACAACAACTAGATTGGAAATGGGGTCAAGAGAGAATTATTTTTAAGAAGGGAAGTACTACATGTTTGTTTGCTGATGGAAATGACTCTACAAAGAAGGAGGAATTAAGGATGTAGGAGAGAGAGAGGATTAATTGTAGGATAAAGTCATTGGGGTGGTAAGAGAAGGATCTAATTATACGAGAAAGAATGTAGTATAATAAACTGTGTCCCAATGAGAGTTCTTAATGTTTTAATAACAAGTGATGGTGGTTTCAATTTGGGTTCCAAAAGACAGTGAGAAAAAAAAGATGGTGGCTTCAAGAAAATGAAACTAACTGGCCAGGAAAGTATGGTTACTTTTCACTATAGCTGTTTCTTCTGTACCTGTCCCTTTGCTCAGGTCATCAGTTTAATTAAAACAGGTACAAAAATTATGAAACAATGTGGTGAGTAAAATGAGAGAAGGGTGCACAGGACACTATGCGGTTACCAAAAAAGGGCACCAACCAAGATCAGGCAAGGGGTTAAGGGGATGCCGTGTCCATTTTCCCAGTAGGAGGGGCAGATAAGAGGAGACAGTCCTATGCAAGGGTGAGTTGAAGCAAACAAAAAGCACACCTGGTACTCAAGAGGCTGAGGCAGGAGAATCACTTGAACCTGGGAGGCAAAGGCTGCAGCGAGCCGTGATTGTGCCACTGCACTCCAACCTGCACTGCAGAGTGAGACTCCATCTCAAAAAAAACAAAACAAACAAACAAAAAACACACACCTGAGTAGTTCAGTGTCAAAAAGTATAAAGGTGGAAATGGTGAGAAATCAAACTGAAGACAGGTAGGGATCATATCTTTAAGGAACTCTATACTGCATTAAGAGCCTAACTTTACGTCACAGACTAGTGTTTCCTAAACTTAAGCAATGTTATGTAAATGAATAGGAAAAAATTTATAGTTGTTGAGGACTACTCTTTAACTCTTATTATTTTTGTAATTATAATTATTATGCACAAAAACAAGTAAAACTTCCTCAAAGTTATAGCTTTTATATAACCATGAAACCAAAACAAGTTTATAAACTAAACACAAATGAAATTTCAAAACCAATTATATTCAAACTTAACTTATCAATTTAATGTAATGAATAATGTTGTTTTACTGAAACAAATTCACTCATATTGAATTTAATAGTAGGAAGATGCAAGTCTAGTATTATAGTTGAGAAAGAGTTTAGAGGAATGGTTAAGAGCATGAACACTGGAGCTAGCCTGCCTGAGTTCAACTCCCAGCTCCCCATTTTACTAGCTGAGTGACCTTGATCTAGTTAAGAAATTACTTAACCTCTTGGTGCCTTAGTTTTCTCATGCGGCTATAAGTACCTTTCTCAAAGAGTTACTGCCAAGATAATGTAAACTAATACATATAAAGAGCTTAGAACATGGAATAAGAAGCTGTCTGTATTTTTTACTTTATTAAAAAACCAGTAGAGGTGGCAGGAAAAAAAAACACACATTACTTGGTGGATCTCTGGAGGAGCAAACATAGAAAAGAAGACTCAGAGAAGGTAGTAGTTCTCTGAATCTGAATCCTGTTTGATCATTTTTTTTTTTTTTTTTTTGTAGCAGAGTCTTGCTCTGTTGCCTGAGCCAAAGTACAGTGGCTGAATCACTGCAGCTTCAAACTCCTGGGCTCAAGCAATCCTCCTACCTCAACCTCCCGAGTAGCTGGGTCTACAAGTATGCACCACGCCCAAATGATTTTTATAATTATTGTAGAGACGGGGGTTTCACCATGTTGCCCAGACTGGACTTGAACTCCTGAGTGCAAATGATCCAACCACCTCAGCCTCCCAAAGTGCTGGGATTACAGGCGTGAGCCACTGTGATCAGCCAATACTGACTTTTTCAAAAGAACACTACTAACGGCTTATGGCTTGAAGAAAAACAAAGAAATCAGAAAAACATGGACATAAAGGAATTAAATAAAAAACGTTTTCAACTACTGGTTTGACGGCCCCAGGTCCCTTGCCATCCCCTATTCCCCAACAGAACAACTATCCCCCCAGTAACCCTGCTTGGGGCCTCTTTAAGCAAAGGGATTGAAGCAGAAGTCTGATTCACTTTAGCCTGTCAAAAATAGATGGTTAATGAATTAAGGAGTTGGAGAAAGAAACATTCATATGTATATAAACATTAATCTATCAGCAAAAATCTCAGATAACTGATACCTATTGTTATAAAATGCTTTTTTCTTAAGAAGGATAAAGAACCATTTTCTCAGCTACTCCTTTGTATTCTTCAATAAAATGTATACTGTTGGGGGGTGGGTAAGGAAGTAACAGTCTGCAATATGAAAAATCTGGACAGAATAGTAAGCACTCAAATATCAAGGAGGTAAGATTTTTAAAAATAAAATTAAACGCTCAGGTATGAAACTAAAATGGTATGTTATAAATTCTGTAACTGTCAAAATCCACTTGTAATAATACCTTTCATTTTATCTGTTATGAAATGAAGTGTTTCAAAAAGTTGAATCTTTCAGGTACCTAAAATATCATTATAAACACCAAAACCTTATTTTTATTTTTTTGATGAAAATCTAAGATGTAATACTTGCAAGCCTTCTTAAATAGGGCATAGAGAACCATAATTTATCCATTTTCTTAGTGTTTAAAAGTCACTATTATGGATATAAGTTATTTTATTGTTGACTGTAATCACATAGTCCTGAGAGAATAGATACCTATAGGGCTTACTGACACAGTCCTAAATCTGAGGTTGGCAAACTAAGTACTTTTGGTCAAATCTGGCCCTCAGAATGTTTTTGTATGGCCCTGGAGTTAAGAGTGGTTTTATATTTTTTAAAGTTTGTAAAAAAAAAAAAATTAAAAATAAGAATATTTGACAAAAACCCTGTGTGGTCCTCAAAACCTAAAATATTTACTATCTGACCTTTTACAGAAAAAGTTTCCCAATCCTTGTCTGAAATGATCCCAGCCTAGCATGCCTTGGAAATTGGTGTCCCCTTTCTTTATCTGCCCTATCTGAGGAGGCAGAGGCTCTGAAGTGAGAATTGAGTTTGGCCGGACCAGGGGCTCATACCTATAATCCCAGCACTTTGGGAGGCTGAGGTGGGCAGATCATTTGAGGTCAGGAGTTCGAGACCAGCCTGGCCAACATGGTGAAACCCTGTCTCTACTAAAAATACAAAAAAATTTGCTGGGCATGGTGGCGCACATCCGTAGTCCCAGTTACTCAGGTGGCTGAGGCACGAGAATCGCTTGAACCTGGGAGGTGGAGGTTGCAGTGAGCTGAGATTGCGCCACTGCACTCCAGCCTGGGTGACAGAGGGAGACTCTGTCTCAAAAAACAAGAAAAAAGAAAAAAAGAATTGGTTTGATTCCTAGATTAAGCACATGCTATCTATAATGACCTTGGGTATCTCCTTAACCTCACAGAGCCTTTGTTTAATCATTTGTAAAATGGGTATAAACATAACGAACTTCACAGGATTTCTAGGCAAAATGAATGACGTACTATGGGAGACATTCAGTAAATGAAAACCATTATTATGTCGTGCTCCATTAGACAAAGACTACCTCCAAAAGGAAGATATACAACTTGGTAAACTATGAACTAAAAAGGCAGAATTCAAATAATTTTAAGCTTTCTTTAAAAGGTCCTTCTGCTATGTGAATGAGAACATCATGAACTTTCCTTAACCTTAAAATTAAACATTCTCACTTCTTAAGTAGTAAATTTGACTAAAAGCTAAAGACATACCAAATAATAGCCATGACAGTCAAGCAAGTTGTGAAGTCAGAAACATAGTGATTAAGTCACTACTGGAAAGCCAGAATCTATTTTTGATTCACTCGGATCACCTTTATTTCATTATACATTTTATAACATCAAAGCAAAACATGGCATAATTTCAGGCACTGAATCATCATCCAACTGAGTTGTAATTAAGGATAAGAACATCATTAAGTTTTAGGTAATGCTTGCAATTGTAAGTAAGCAGTGCCTTTCTATTCTTCTGGAAAATGTCATTTAGGGGGTTTCAACAATTCTCCTAAATCTAGACTGTAAGTGCCATGCTTGAATTTTTTTTTGGATGCGTGCCCAACAATAAATAATCCACAATGATCTGAGGACAGCACTTCCACCCAAGAACTTAATCAGATTAATGATGTATTTGTTTTATAAAAATGAAGTACATTAAGCCTGAGAATACCTAATTTACATACTAAATGGTTGCTAGGGACCAAAAATACTAGTGGTTTTTATAAAATCGAGGTTACAAAATTGTCCATTGTCTTGAAATCTGTTAGTAAATAGCAGTGAAATGCAAAATAATAAACCAATGTTAATTAGTAGTATTTACGTATGTAAATTCATTAGATGGTGTACTGTTGTTCAAAAGAACCTAACGATGCTCATATTTGAAAACATACGTGCCCCAGAGACAATGATGCCATTATATGAAGTTGGAAATAACAGCAAACTTACTTATAATGTTTTCTAATTGACTTGACCTCAAATTGTGATTAACATGCTACTCTGATATTTTCATTTAGGGTCCTAGTTTAATATATGCAAACATAAACAGTAAATTAGCAGTCTAGGTTTCTGCCATTTTTTGTTGGAAACCTATTAGCAACCTTTATCTAAAAATGGGAGGAGAGCTTTCACAAAATAGCTGAATTTCACCAATCCCTAAATCAGAGGAATTTACAGCATCTCTGGATGTTTCTTCTGGATTGTCACAGACACATACACACACACACAAAGCTGCTTCATTCATTCAACATACTTGTGTTAATTGATCTTGGGGAGACAATATTGAATAAGACAAAGTCACTACCTTCTTTGCTAAGGACATTGCCAAGTAAGCAGATAATTACCATACAGTAGGACAATATTACAATTAGGGCATAAATGGAGAGCTTAGGTCAGATTGTCAATGAAAGCTTTATTTTAGAATGAAATCAAACATCAGTCCAAATATCCTAAATGAGTTAATATTGAAAGACAAAAATTTGTTACTTTTAGAAGCAACAAATTCCTACAGAAGAGCAAACCTAATACTAAGCCATCTGTTATTTGCAATACACTTAATAAAGTCAACAGACGGATGCACTTCCTGTGCTTCAGATAAACAGATGGTTTTTTAAAAGTCTAAAATATTCTATCAATGGAAACCTCAACCAACACCAAAAAAAAAAAAATCCCTCACAAACGTACAGCAGCCCACAGTTGAATACTTGGTTTCTTTTCATTCAGCATACACATAATGAAGACGGCACTGCAAACCCTAGACTACCATCCTTCTGTTACCATGAAAGCAGCATCTTTTCTTTGTGAAATACGTGTGGACACAAAGGAGGACTATTCAGTTGAACTGGTTAAACATCTTTTGTACCTGGAATGTTGATGATACATCTAGTTGGCAGGCAGAAGCAGCACAGCTTACAAACAACTCACCTACTCCATTTGTTTACAAAACACACATTTATTTACAAACCACGGCACACAGACACACCACCAGACAGATGAATGTATTTGGTATGTAAAAGGGCATGGTGAGATCCCACTATAGCAAGATCTTTGATTCTAAAAGATTTCTCTTAAATTGAGGAAAAATAATACTTTGAATAAACATTGATAACTGAATTTTTAAAAAATTCTACTCAAAAGCACTTACTTGCATAAGCCATATGTAAGCATGTTTTCAAAAGTTAATCAAATATTAGTGGTTCATGCTATACCAAGTCATTCATATGACATTATCATGCTCAGTATAATTATTTTTTAATCAACAGTTTAGGGTCAGCATATAGAACTTATTTTGCATGAAACAAAGGCAAAAATAAAACTTAAGACTTTTTTTAATTTAGACTAAGCAAAAAGTGTTACAAATTCTCATAATGTCAGACACTTCCATTTTTCTTATAAGAAACATTCTGGCTACAAAACATCTTTTCGTATACAAACTTATGAAAACCCTAAGATCACAAAATGCTTATATCATTGACAACTTGGATTTGAAAAAAAAATACACTTAAAGCTTACAAACTCAGTAAAAGTTCCACGATATGTATTACTTACTATGTTAATTCATCTTTCTTCACTTCTATTGCATCAGTCATGAATGTCCAGATCTTGGCTTACCTGAATCAATTACTTGCTTGGAATCAAATAATATTAGACATTCATATATAAAATACACCCTGGAAAAGGATATATATATGTATTTCAAGTCCACTGTATTTAAATACTCCCAACTATTTTAACTTGAACTAAAATTTGTAAAAAGATATAAACCAATAGATAGACCAGCTCTAATGTAACATAACTACACAAGAAAATGAGCTGGGTGTTCAAATTCCTCTCTGCCAAAAGGACAACATTTGAGAGAGAATATAAGGAAATACGTTTCTGAGTTTAATGATTACTATGTCATGTTTTATTATAGCTGATATTTACTGAGCATTTACCATGTGCCAACTATTAAGCTCTTTTCATTATTTAACTCATTTAATTCTCACAATAGCCACGGAAAATTAACAGTAACATCTTAGTAAAAGAATGAAACACTACTTGGAAAGCATATGTTTTTTTTTTTTTTAATTTACATGAAAAGTTAGCTCAAACACAGTCTCTATTAGCAACCAGAAG